>NC_000010.11:1979696-2131212 GCF_000001405.40 Homo sapiens
GATTTTCATAAGCAAAGATACTTCAGGATGCAAGAGGAAATGCACACTGCTAATGCTGTAGATTTGTTACTCAGTAAATGCCCAGCATCAGAGCTCCTGGGTTTTACCTGGTGAAGAAATATCTACATGCCAAACAGAATCATTACTGCCTTCATTTCAGAGGTTTTCCGAGGGACCTGGGAAAGTTGTCAGTGCTGGCAGTAGAGATGCCACACCAGCAGTGTTCAAACACTTTACAAGTGCTGATTCAATACATGAGCAAATGGATGAAAATAGAAACCTCACATTTGTCTGTGGTTTTTAAGCCTCTTTCCACTGCCTTAAGGAGGTTTTGGGCATGGCAGCGAGTTTCCCATCTACCTTTTAGGGGATGGGATGACCACACAGGCAAGGGCAGAACATGACGTTTCAATTTTTGCACTAGCTTAAAAATAGGTAATCTCGTTTTACACTCTTCCCATCCTTCTCCAGTTGATAGTGCAGTTTTATATTACCTTAACTTTACAGACATGGTAATGGGTTCAGAGATTATATGCAAAGACGCTGAAGACTTAAACCAAGTCCTTCACTCAATTGACAAACACAAGTATTTGTATTTTTAAAAATGCATTTAGTGTTACTGAGCATTCTGTAGATATCAGGGTCTCTTATATTTTAAAACCTCTATATAAGGTCCACTTTTACTACAAGTCAATGACCCAGGGCAAATAATTTAGAAATCAGGATTCTATTTTCTCATCTGTGAAGCATTTAAATACCCATTTTATTGAATTTTGATGAGAATTATACAAAAATCATGTGTCTCATAGGTTTGACTATTGTACACAATTTTATCCACGCATATTTAAAATATTTTTGAAAAACAGAAAAATGATATGGCTGTTAACATAATACAGTTTTGAAAGTGAACTATTATTGCAGATGCAAGCTGTCTCATGCTGCCTCCGTGTCACTCCCACACCCTGCACTGATCTCCAGAGTCAAAGCCGTTCAAAAGTCTTACTTGTGCTTTTTTTTGGCACAAAACACACTTCCAGATTTCTCAGTGGTTTGCTTATACTGTCAGGTACTGAGGCACTCATAGACCACAGCTATAGAATCCATTCTGTGGAAGAAGACAGAAGCACTTGGAATTCCTCCTCCTGCCTAAACATACACACTTCAATAGCTTCTTTTCCCATATTCTCAAGTTAGCCGTGTCATAAGTTTTGGTTAAATCCTTCGTGACGTTTACATTAGCGTGACTGTGTACCACTATGCGTTGTCAATCCCCTTTTTTCCTGGCATATTTTAATTGCTTCTTTTTTTTCCTTTTATCTCATATTTTGTGTGTGAGACAAATCTGCCATTAAATCTCAGCATTTTAGACAAATCTATATTTTTAAATGTTTTTCAATACGATGAAAACGGTAAGGTAATCTGTCAGTTCCCAGTCTCTCATTCAGGAGAAGACACTCCTGGGAACGCGAACCCCCTGGCTCCAGTTTGCTAGTTCTCTGGTCCCGAGGCACAGAACTTCCTGCAGCCCTCTGTGTCTTCCTGGGATGCTTTTTGTCTCTGTGTAAGCTCCAACACTTGCAGGATCCAATGTCTTTCGTCTTATTGATTTGCTCCTCCGTTCTGTGATCCACATTTGCTTCTAGTGGAAGAAGAAATGGAAGATAATTATTGATACCTTTCATGTATAAAGAAGTCTTCCTTTACTTATCAATTCTGTTAATTTATCAAACACTAAAAAGTCCTTGTTTCATGTCAGGCATGGTTCTAATTACAGATATTAACTTAATAATTTCTTACTAGTTTGCCGACATAAAATTTTAACTTGAGAATAAGCTGCCCTGAGAATTGTGAACCCCATTCTGCATTTTCTTTCTAGATTACAGTATTGTTAAGAAATTGGATGTCATTCTTATTCCAAATTTTTTTGCCTATTAAGTCTTGTTTTTGTTTTTCTTTTCACTCTCTATCAGCTTAATCCCTAGTATTTGGGTATAATGATAATGCCCTTCGTGTAAGTAGTCTTTAAATGCATTTGCCTTAATACATTAAATCTGAAAATCCATCGACTCCATCTTTTTAATTATTTTTCATCTGATATCATTGGTGATTCCCTTTCCTCTCTTTATTATTTCTTTCTCCAATATTATTAGTTATATTTTCCAGACTAATTAAATAGATCTTTTCAGTTCTTTAAAATAGTTTTAACATCTCCTTGCTACATCTTTAATGTTTTCTTCGATTTTGGGATATGGCCCCAACTCTACCTTCCAAATCTTTATTTGTTTCTTTAAATTCCCACTAACGTATTTTTAACTTCCAAGACCTTTTGTTTGTTCTCTGCCTTCCTTTATCAAAGTATTCTGATTCTGCGGGGATTAGAGTTTTGAAGTGTTATTCTGTCATCTACATTCATTCCCTTTACTCTGAGTTCTGCTATTTTCTGCTTCTTTATTTGGATCTCTGTGTTTCTTGCTGGAAGTTTGCCTCCAATGGCTGGTGATCCTTCACGGTTCTTCCATATTCATGAGAGAGACATAAAATTAGATACAACATGTGCATTCTGGTTAATTGTTCAGAGGTATGCATTTCCAATTGCAGAACTTTAAAGATTCTTTGGATGCTACAAATCCACAACTTTAAGAATAAGCCAGAACACCTATTTCCTGTTTTATTGCCTGTTAAGAAGAAGGTGTACTTTGTTATACTGGATTTTGATAGAATGTGCTGTGGGTGGATACATGGGAAGGTACTTCTACACAACATCAGTCCATCGGGCTAAAAATTAAGTCAATCAATTAGCTCTTAACTTACTTATCTATCACTGAATACTCCTATTTTAATGAAAAATTTTTGTTTTATGGAAAATTCATGGGATGGACTTTGTAGCCTGTTAGAATGAAAAGGAGAGCACTAGTAAATACAGGAAGAAATGTGTGCCATCCCTTCATAAATACTTAACTTTCAGCAGGTGCTGAGTTCTAAGTATATGGCCAGGCATTGTGCTAAGTGTATTACAGTTATTAAAGTATTTAATTTCCACAGGAGAATTACATGGCATTCTAATTTTACAGATGAGAAAATGGTCTTTATAAGATCAATAATTCACTCCGAATAATAATTCCTCCAGTTAAGTGGAAAAATAAAGATTAGAACACAGGTCTTTAATTTAATCTCTAAGGTCTTCCACTTCTCTCCACAAATTCAATCTAATTATTTATGATTCTAGGTATACTTCAAACACTTTCTAGACCTTCACAGTCATTATTAAGAGCATAAACTATCATCGATTTTACAATTATTATATTGCTTTAAACCAATTATTAGTAAATTCTGCACAATAGAATTCACTTAATAAAGAAGAGAGTGACATAAATTTTATCTAATTTACGTTTTATATTATGTAATGTAAACATTGCCTTTTTTGAGACACTTTACAAGCCATCCAATTTATCTATTCTAGTCTTAGAGTAAATATTTATCTATTCTGGTCTTAGAGTAAATATTTATCTTCAATGTTTTTCTTATCTTAAAATTGTAATTAAGTTAGCAAGTAGTTGCCGAAGAACGAGGTCAGAACTCCTATGTGGTGGAATATCACCAGTTTATTTTTTGTGTCTATTTTCGTTTCCATTTTGAAAGAAAAATTCTATCTTTATCAACAATGATCCCGATACGCTCTGCCCAAAAGAAGGTTATTAGGCTAGTGCAAAAATAATTGTGTTTTTTGTCATTATTTAATTATTTAATGGTAAAAAGTGCAATTACTTTTGCAGCAACCTAATAGCTGTATTTTGAGAAGTAGTGATCAAGATCAACTTTAGAATCTCTATCCATCAACTGATTGGTAAATACATTTTTTATTATACTTTAAGTTCTGGGATACATGTGCAGAACGTGCAGGTTTGTTACATAGGTATACACGTGCCATGGTGGTTTGCTGCACCCATCAACCTGTCATCTACATTAGGTATTTCTCCTAATTGTATCCCTTCCCCTAGTCCCCCATCCCACAACGGGCCCCAGTGTGTGATGTTCCTTTCCCTGTGTCCATGTGTTCTCATTGTTCAACTCCCATTTATGAGTGAGAACACAAGGTGTTTGCTTTTTCTGTTCTTGTGTTAGTTTGCTGAGAATTATGGTTTCCAGCTTCATCCATGTCCCTGCAAAGGACATGAACTCATCCTTTTATATGGCTGCATAGTATTCCATGGTGTCTATATCCATGATGGACATTTGGGTTGGTTCCAAGTCTTTGCTATTGTGAACAGTGCCACAATAAACATACGTGTGCATGTGTCTTTATAGTAGAATAATTTATAATCCTTTGGGCATATACCCAGTAATGGGATTGCTGGGTCAAATGGTATTTCTAGTTCTAGATCCTTGAGGAATCACCACACTGTCTTTTGAAGATTGACAATGTTTCTAATGAAGGCTTAATATAATGGGGAAAAAGGAATCTTAATGACATTCTTTTGTTTTTCACAATAATAGCAATACATTACAACAATATATCCTTTCAATCAAAAATCTTTGAAATGTGTTTTGCATGTGTAATCTCCAACCTTCTAGAGAGACACATGGATATGTGCACTGGAACTCCAGTCCCCAGCCCTGGGATCCAGGCTATGTTTTGCATGTGTGATCTCCTAGCTTCCATAGAGATATGTGGATGTGTGCACTGGAACTCCAGTCCCCAGCCCTGGGATCCAGGCTATGTTTTGCATGTGTGATCTCCTAGCTTCCATAGAGATACGTGGATGTGTGCACTGGAACTCCAGTCCCCAGCCCTGGGATCCAGGCTGTGTTTTGCATGTGTGATCTCCTGGCTTCCATAGAGATATGTGGATGTGTGCACTGGAACTCCAGTCCCCAGCCCTGGGATCCAGGCTATGTTTTGCATGTGCAATCTCCTCCCTTCCATAGAGATATGTGGATGTGTGCACTGGAACTCCAGTCCCCAGCCCTGGGATCCAGGCTACATTTTGCATGTGCGATCTCCTCCCTTCCATAGAGATACATGGATGTGTGCACAGGAACTCCAGTCCCCAGCTCTGGGATCCAGGCTATGTTTTGCATGTGTGATCTCCTAGCTTCCATAGAGATATGTGGATGTGTGCACTGGAACTCCAGTCCCCAGCCCTGGGATCCAGGCAGTGTTTTGCATGTGTGATCTCCTCCCTTCCATAGAGACACACGGATGTGTGCACTGGAACTCCAGTCCCCAGCCCTGGGATCAAGGCTATGTTTTCCATGTGTGATCTCCTAGCTTCCATAGAGATACGTGGATGTGTGCACTGGAACTATTCCAATCCCCAGCCCTGGGCTCCAGGCTACGTTTTGTCACATGCTAGAGATGTAAGCTGGGGAAGTTGATCCAAAATTGATCAGACTGGGCCTCAGTTTTCTCAAGGATAAAAAGAGAGTACTTTATTAAATTGTTACAGAAATTAAACAATATAAATATTTCAATGATAAATAATTACATCAATAAAATGTCAGTTATCCATGGCAATATTATAGTTGTAAATGTGGACAGGTTAAGCCCCAGAGATTGAGTCCATTCATGTTAGAAGTATTTCTCTACATTAATGCATAAACACTATAAGGTAGAAGCAGTCATTTAACAAATTCAAGCTAAGAAAAAAAGTAAAAATAATTATTCCTATTTCTTAGTGCCTGTGACAACATTACTCATTTCACATATGTTATTTCTATACTCTTTATAAATTACTTCCTAAGACTATGGAAGTCTGGTTTCTTATGTTTTCCTTCTGAATTTTACAGTTAGACAGATCTGAGAGGTGGGTGTGTTGAAATGCGTATGTGAATTAAATGCAATGCAAAAGTAAAGCTTAACCCCATAAGACAGCAACGACGAGTAGAAAGTGTGTGAGATTATTTCCTTTTACCTCGTCTGTTTATAGACTCTTACTAAAATATTTGTAGCCTAACAAACTGAAAGGAATTAAGAAAACTTGATGTGATTCTGAGAGTCACTTTGATGTTGGAATGATAAGAAAATCGTGTGTTTGAGGGAAGACTGGATAAGAATATTGATAATACCTGTGAGAAATAATGGAGACATTATTTGCACTTTATAGAGAAGGAAACTTGGAACAAAACCAAGTGTCTCTCTGTAGCATGTTCAAATGATGTTGTATGGAGTTCATGTATGTATACATAGAATCAGACAGAGAAGAACAGATGCTGAAGGTGAACACCCTAAGTTTGTGTTTCCTGGTACAAAGCTTATTCTAGATTATATCTGTCAACTCCAAAGAAGAATTCTTACACCTCAAGGGAAAAACAAATAGATGAAGGATAAGTGGAAAATGATGATCTTCTTTTTTTCTTTTTCCTTTACTGTTTCTCCTTCATGGTTTTTCTTCATTGTTTCTGGAATCTTACTGAAATATTTGTGGCCATGCATTGCTGGTGGGAAGGTAAAATGGCACAGCTGCTATGGAAAACAGTTTAGAAGTTTCAAAAATTTAAACATAGAACTACCATATCACACAAGAGTTTCACTACTAGGCATATTCCCCAAAATAATGGCAACCAAGACTCAAAAAGATACTTGTACATCAAAGTACACTGCAGCATGATTCACAATAACCAAAAGGTGCACAGAACCCAAACGTCCATCAATGGATGAATGGATAAAGAAAATGTGGCCTGGATACTCCATGGAATATTATTCAGTCATGAAAGAGATGGCATTCTAACACACACCACAGCATGGTGAAGCTTGGAAACATTATGCTACGTGAAATAAGCTGGACACAGAAGGACAGATGAGACACTGCCATGAAATATCTGGAATAGACAAGTTCGCAGAGAAATAAAGTCAGCCAGAAGATGATTGATTAGTGGGAACAGAATTTCCATCTGGGGCAATAAAAATATTTTGGAAATAGATGGTGGTGTTGGCCGCACCTATAGTGAATGAAATTAAGGCCACTGATGTGTACACTTATGCTGGTCAAAATGGCAAATTTTGTGCT
The DNA here is from genome assembly GCF_000001405.40 of Homo sapiens. Classification (NCBI taxonomy): domain Eukaryota; kingdom Metazoa; phylum Chordata; class Mammalia; order Primates; family Hominidae; genus Homo; species Homo sapiens. The sequence continues at coordinate 1,986,704 of NC_000010.11, forward strand.
GTGTGTATTTTACTACAATAAAAATATTTTTTAAAGTACCTATGGTAAATTTTATGCTATGTATATTTTACTACAATAAAAGTTTTTTTTTTTTTTTTTTTTGACGGAGTCCCACTCTGTCTCCCAGGCTGGAGTGCTCTTCACCCATCCACTGTGCTATTTCTCTTTGAAGTCAGTCAGTCTTGCGGTTCTTTTCCTCTATTTTATAATTTTTTGACTAACTTTTCAAGGACTATAAACAGTTTATTTTTGCTCTTTTTTTTTTTTTTTTTTTTTTGAGACAGAGTCTCGCTCTGTCGCCCAGGCTGGAGTGCAGTGGCGTGATCTCGGCTCACTGCAAGCTCCGCCTCCCGGGTTCACACCATTCTCCTGTCTCAGCCTCCTGAGTAGCTGGGAGTACAGGGGCCCACCACCATTCCTGGCTGATTTTTTGTATTTTTAGTAGAAACGGGGTTTCACCGTGTTGGTCAGGATGGTCTTGAACTCCTGACCTCGTGATCCATGGTGCTCGACCTCTCAAGGTGCTGGGATTACAGGCGTGAGCCACTGCATCCGGCACTATAAACAGTTTTAATGCCTCTACCATCTTGGGTAAAGCTTACCTATCATGAGTTCTACCAGCTTATGTACTTAAACATTTACCTTCCCCACTTCATGGAGTCCACATCCACCACCAGACTTACCTGAAACCATGCTGATCACTCGTTATTTAGTTCTTACAGCTCCACTGAAATGCTCTGGGGAGAAAAAAAGAATGTCTTCCTCACCTCAAAACTCACACACTCTTTTTTTAAACATCTTCTTGTAGCCATTGACATCAGATTCCCTGGTACTTGGTCCACATGGCTCCATGAGTCCCTGATTCTCACAGCCATGCGGCACACAGAGCGAGGGACCTCTCATGAATGAACGCCCTAGATGCCCACCCCTGTCAAGCGAGGGACCTCTCATGAATGAACGCCCTAGATACCCACCCCTGTCAAGTTCAGCACGGCAAAGACACAGTGGGGACAAGGGCACTGAGGTGGAGCTGAGGCTTTACTGACGAGATATTTTGAATCTGTTCATTGCAAGGCCTCTTCTGTCTATGCTGTCATGAAAGGAATAAATAAGGTGTGTTTATAAGTTTTCACAATGGGGACATGTCTTCCCTTAGTTTTTTTTTTTTTTTTTTTTTTTAAGAAATACTTCTAAAACTTGGCTGCGGTAATTGAGGCTGCATCACAACACATGAGTACTCTCCAATAATTATACCTCACCTGTTGGGTGTCATACTGTATTATTATGCTTTGGGATTCCCTGGAATACCATTTATGCAATGATGGTGATGACATCGGTAATAATGGCTAGAGCACTGACTTCATGCCAGAACAACCTAGGGGCTTCAGACGTGTGTTTAGCTTCTCAACAGCCCCATGAGGTAGGACCCATTTTCCCTTTTTGTGGATGAGAAAATCGAGAAGCGGAAGGTAAGAATTTAGTTCAAGCTCTTACATCTAGTGAAAACCAGAATTGGGATTTGAACCCACTCAGTCTGGCTCCAGAGCCTGCGCTCAACCGTGTTGTACACCGACTTGGCTCTAACAGATCCACTGCAGTTTCTTCATCAACCTTAGTTTCCCCTTGTTGACTCCTTGTAAATCAGGCACTTGGCAAAATACCTCGATTCACCTGGTGCAGCCACATCATTGAAATACATATGTTCTTTCATTCTACTAAACACAGTAAAAGAGTAATGGTGCTCAACTTCTATGAATTTGCTAATAAAGATATTATAGTCACATAAAACTTGTTCTTTGGGTTTCATTTAGAAATAATATTTACACATTCATTCATCTTATCAGTTATTTGCATAGGTATTAAGCACAGAAAATGTGGGTATATAAATAGTGATAAAGTTAATCTTTGCTTTAAAATAAATTATCGTTTAGTAGAGTTCTTCATTTTTAACATTTTATTTTGTTTTATTTTCATGAGGTTCTCTTTTCCTGTTACTGAAAGGAATTTCTGGAGGTCAGACAGAAGTAGTTCATTACATAGACAAAGAGACTACAAATCAATACCCCTCAAGAAAGATTAAGGTGCTATGAGACTGTCTTGGTATTTGTAGAGAATCATATGAAAGTCAGTTTTTTAGCTAGTGGCTGAATCAAAATTTGCTTCATTTATAGATAGGTACAGATATGGATAGCATTTTTAAAACTACCACTAGACACTATATTATATTTATTTTACTGTCTTTCCCACTAACTAGGCTAAAGTTGTAAAGGCCTGTCTCAATTAAAAAGAAATAGATTGGGTTCTAACAAAAGCAAGTGTGTTTTATCAACATATTCTTCCTATTAATTTTATTACCAGAAGTAGAAGGCATATGGGAGGCATGGTTTTATTTCAGGATGCTTGGAAGATTACATTGCATAGAATTATATTATGCTAAACAAATTGACATAAAATGTGACAGAAAAGGAAAATATGTGCTAATAGTCTGCAGACAGGCAGGGTCTGTGTGACCTGAGGATGCATTTGGTTCAGGGGCAGAGAGAGCGGGACCCCCAGTATGTGGGACCCCCAATGTGCAGAGCCACACCATGGAGGTAGCGGTCACAGCCCTGGGACGGGAAGGATGAATAGGGCACAACGTCAGCTAAAGCAACGGGTTTCAAACATGGATCTCAGCCCCATCTGGAGGGATTCTGATTCAGTAATGGGCTGAAAACCCCAAGATGCTTGCTTTTACAAAGCTCTCCAGAAGGTTCTGAAAGGTAGGTTCAGGAAGGATCAAACTGAATCTTAAGGAAAATCCACACTTAGGAAACAAGAGGAAGAAATAAACTCAGAAGGAAATATCTATGTGTCTGTCACTATCATCATCCTATTTTGCCACTTGAGGAAATTAGTTTTTTAAAGAGGTTAACTAAGTTTCTCAAGAGGGCTGAAGAGGGAAGGAGCAGGACAGTCACTGGAATTCCAGTGTGTCTGTTACAAAGTGTCCATTTTAGCCTCTTTGCCTACTGCATCCTTTGAACAAGATAAAGTGGAAGAAATCAGACAGGAGTCCAGGGAAGGGGTTAATGGCTGGAGTCATGAGCTCCATCACTTGCGTAAGGCCAGGAAAGCCCAGGTCAGACTCTCTAGAGAGACAGCCTGGGCATTGCAGAATTCAGAAGTTGAGTAGAAACAGGCAAATCTCACTGGAGATTTCTGGGAATTGATTAGTAGTGACTTTCTGGTATTATTAACAAAATGTGGAGGTTTTTAATGAGGAAATGAGAAAGATAAAATCCAATGCAAGGTGGGGATATGATTTTAAAAAATTAACTGTTTGTCTAACAGCACAGAGAAGAACAAGAGGATGGGGGTTAGTTCATTATCCCTGCATGAAATCCTGCAAATGAGTGTTCTCATTCCAGCTTCCAATTTAATATCTGAAAACCTAAGGGCAGATTTCAAGAGAATTATGTCCTTTTTCTAAGAAAGTCTATTTCATAACCGAGTGTCTGAAATATCTTACCTTTTGATTTTAAAGTATTAAAAAACTGATTTAATTATGTGCATGGTGCCTTGGCCCACAGACAATAAATTTGAACTAACAGTGTGCTTCTGTGTCTGTAGGTGGCCAAGGCTAAACGTGGAACAAGATACAGGATTCTCATTGTGTGTAGGAAGGAGGCCACAAGGTGTTTATGGCAACTGGGGTCTGGAATATATTTGGAGGGAGAACTTGGCAAGTTATTGATGATTAATGTCTACTTTCACCATAGACGATGAATGTTCAAGTTGGCGGTGGCTCATCCCAACAGGAAGAACATGTCCACAGCAGTTCCTTCCTTCCCGGCGGGTGCAGTTACTTTGCCCCATCCACTGCGTAGTGCAGTTACTTCTCTCCATCCACTGTGAACACTGTCCCTGCGTCTCTTCCAAACCCCCCACATCAGAAGGGGGACTTCTTCTCATGGGTGGTTTATTTCCAAGGTGTGCTCAGAGGCAGAGTAGATAACTACTGTTGGCTCTACTCTTTCTCCTCACCTAGGGAAGCACATTGTCCTGCTGAAAATTATAAAATTATCATTAATATTGTTTAAATAATACATTATATTTTAAAGTGTGCCTATTACATAAACCAAAAATATTTTAGGTTCTTAAGATGAGAACATAAGAATATTCTGAAGGAAAGTCCACAACAATAATGTATGTTTTGATAAATGTACCCAAAGATTTAGAGAATTTCACTTTGAGTAAGAATATGAAGTAGGAATTTAAATATAGGCAGCCATAGAGGCATCTAAATGCGATCGTTGTGCATGGCACTAGAAGAAAGGATTTACAAACCACCCAGTGGAATTTTGATCTTATCAGAACATACTTTAAACTTTTTCTCAATAGCTCTTTTAGCCACTCATCTCTGGACAAAACCATTGTAGCAGACTATGGGGGGTAAATAAATCTGCTTTTCACTGTAGTATTACGTATAGTATGTAGTAGTATTACATTTGCAAGTTGAGTTTCCAGAATCAAAACAAACTAGAAAACTGAGATTCTAAATTTTCTGGGTAACAGTTCCAATTATTTTAGTTTACTTTTAGAGATTTAGACTGGGCCATATCTTGAGCTCCATTGCTAAGCAGGGGGAGGTAATGTAAAGAAGAAATATGTAGGGCTTATAGATGATAGATAGATAGATAGACAGAGATTAGATAGATGATAGCTAAATAGTAATAGCTAGCTTGTTAGATGATGGTGATAGAGGATAGGTAAATAGTGATAGATAGATACATAGATAGATAGCTACATAGATGGACAGATGATAGGGATAGGTGATAGGTAAACAGTGATAGATAGATAGATAGATAGATAGATACATAGGTAGATGACAGAGATAGATAGATGATAGGTAAATTGTGATAGACAGATGATAGAGATAGATAGGAGAGAGATAATAAAGATAGATAGATGATAGCTAAATAGTGATAGCTACTTTGCTAGATACATGATAGTGATAGATGATAGGTAAACAGTGATAGATAGACGATAGATAGATAATTGATAGACATAGATGATAGGTAACTAGTGATGATAGATAGATATGAATAATAGGTAAGTAGTGATAGATTAGATGATAGAAAGAGATAGATCATAGGTAAATAGTGATAGATTATAGATAGAGATAGGTTGGTAGATGATAGAGATATATGGTAGGTAAACAGAGATAGCTAGCTAGATGATAGATGGATAAGACAGATAGATGATAGATAAATAGATAGATATAGATAGATAAATAGATATGATAGGGAAATAGTGATAGCTAGATAGATGATAGGTAAACAATGATAGATGGATAGACAGATGATAGAGATAGATGATAGGTAAAGAGTGATAGCTAGATAGAAAAATAGATAGATGATAGATAGATAGATGATGGAGATGATAAACATATATATGCCTAAAAGAATCCTGAGCTAAGTGCTACATAATAAGGTAATATTTAATAATAGCTCATAGTTCAAAGGCTACAGATATTAGAAATACAAATATTTGAAACAGCGTGCAGTGTCTCACACCTGTAATCCCAGTGCTTTGGGAGGTTAAGATGGGAGGATCACTTGAGGCCAGGAGTTTGAGACCAGCCTTGGCAACACAGTGAAATTCCCATCTTTACAAAAAATTTTAAAAATTAGCCAGACATGGTGGTATACGCCTTCTGTCCCAGCTACTAAGGAGGCTGAGGTGGGAGGATCTCTTGAGCCCAAGAGGTGGAGGCTGCAGTCAGCTATGATCGCACACCACTGCACTCTAGCCTGGGAGACAGAGTGAGACCTTGTCTCGAATTAAATAAACAAGTAAATAAAAAATAAAATTCCAAACTAGCTTTCATATTAATGCTGTTTCCAAATATGCTTAGTTGTGAACGACGAACCTCTAATACGAGCGCGTAATAGCATGAAGAGACACGGTGCACTCAGCGCACATGCATGGGTGTTTCTCATGAACTCATCTGTAACATGCTGCCCCACAGCAGCTTGACTCCCTCCAAAAGGCCTGTCTGCGGTGGGGATTATCACACACTTTATGAAAATCATTTCTGGGGTTGTGCAGGGGAAGCATCGGAATGTATAACTCGGAAAATGTCTTGTCATTGTTGGGACATGATGAGCCGTAGTTTTCTAAAAAGTGGGAAAACAGCGAAACTGTTTAGAAACAAATGAAACACGTCATTATTCCATTTCAGAATTGCTGGTTTAGCAGTCATTATCCTTAATGGTTCCCTTGAACAGCTGAACAAAAACCTAAAGGGGCATATTTAAGAGATCTGAAATGATCACTTCTTCATCTGTCTGTTGCATAAGATGCACGGCCTTCAAATCAAAACAGAAGAGTTTGTCCTCATTAAGCGACAGGGCGCAGCCAGTAGGCAGCCGCGGGAGGGGTGTCCTCGTGTCTGGCACGGTGGAGCGGAGCATTGCATCCGCTCATAAACACCGCAGAGTGTATGACAAGAACAGCAAAGATAAAGAAAAATCATGTTCAGATTTAATTATTATCAACAAATTGACTGTTCTTCTTCATTTTTAATGACTTGTTTTGTTGCAGAGATGCTGCTTTATTCTGGAGAACTGCCCTGATATCTGACACCACCCCAATATTTCTTGAGGTGGGAAGAAAGACTATGGGCATTTTCGCTGGATGGCCCTTCATCTTGAGGGATAGTCCCACACCCTGAGGGACATTAGAACCCTGTTTCTTGTCCTAAATGCCACTGGCATTGCTCAGTAATATCAAAACAAAACAAAACAAAACAAAACAAACAAACAAAAACAAAGCAGAACCAACCCCCACACAGTCCTCCACACAGATGATAGAGATAGATAGATAGATGATAGATAGATAGATAGATAGATAGATAGATAGATAGATAGATAGATAGAGATAGGCTGCATTTCCATCCACCATGCAGCTGTGGGACCACAGATTCCTCCAGGGAAGAAAGGATCTCCACTGGTATGCCTGCAAACAAGCCAGCAGCAACGCACTTCAGCAAGAAATGCTTGTAAGTTGTCCTTGTTTCTACAAACCCAGAGACTTCGTGACCTGTAGATGTCTAACAGTTTCTTCGTTATACCTGAGTTATGCAAGTGCAAACCAACCAATGCCTGGGTTTCACATACATGCCAATGTGTGTCCATCCAGTCCCAGAGGCATCTGTCCCTCCTACATTTCTATACGGAGTCTCTCTCTACTCTTCTTTGCTTTAATGTCTACGTATCTAATCCTTCCCTCATATTGCTCTGATTACCCTTCCATATAAATCTATTTTCCATCCTCCCTTTTTTTTTTTTACTTCCGTCTTTTCTTCCAAAAAGTAGTAGCTGCTGTGTAAGGATAACCCTGGACTCTTTGGAACTCAGGATACAGGCATTAAACATGGGTCCATGTATACACACACACACACACACACACACACACACACACAATCTTCAGTTTGAGTTGAGATGGGGGTCAGAGTTCCAGGCAGCAGAGCATGCTCAAATGCACTGTGGAAAAAGGAAGGTGAACTCAGTTCAGAATCTAAAGTGGGTCCTCTGGGCGCAGAGGAGAGCAAGAGCCAGCAGGGAAGACACATGGTCACTGCAGCTGGACCAGGAGAGACCTCAAGCCATATTCAAGTGTTCACAATTCATCTAAGCTCCTGGAGTCGCTTCCTGGCCTTTCCACACTTACACTAGCTCTTTGCACATTTCAAAGCCCACTTCTGGTCATTGCTCTGCTCAAAGAAATCACAGGTGAATCCATTTCCTTCTTCTCCTGAATCCTTGGCATTTCTGGTCTGTGATGCATGTTTTGAGTGTGTGCTGGGTTGAGCAGGTTTGCTATTTGTTTATCTCACTTACTTAAGTGTCCTTTGGTCTTAGCATGGATTTCCTAGAAGCAGAGCCGGATGGGGGCTATTTTTGTGCAGGTGATTTGTTGAGGGAGGATGCTTGGATGAGCCTGAATGGGAGTGAGGGGCAGGGGCTGGGCCGGGGAGCAGCAGAGCACTCTTCAGGGAGATGGGTGGGATCTCTGGCCATGGAGGAGTGGGTTGTTTCCCCTTGGAGCAGGAGCCTGGGCTTGTATACCATATTCTGGCAGCCACCGGTGGGCACCCCAGGAGCGTGCAGTCTCCTGCACTCCCCCAACAAGACGGCCCCCATTAGGCCGTGGTGATTTTCAGAAGAGCATAACTGTGAGCTGCTAACAACCAACTCCGGAATACTTGCCAGCTACCTGCCCGGGCTTCATGTTGTCCTCTGGGCCATTGGCTTGCTGGGATCCCAGGGCATGACTATTATCTTTGTAATTGTGTAATTTCTCACCTAATATGCAAAGCCAAATCACTCGCAGTTATGCAGCAAATGAGCATAAATGTTGGCATTTGAAAGGAACTTAATACCAAGGAATCGTTTTCATGACAGTAGACTTGTTAGATTATATATCTTATTTAACATCATTATGTAACAATGTAGATCCTATATAGAGTAGTGATATTATTCAGATATTGCATTGTATTTAATATAATTGATATCACTATAATTATAGAAAATTACATCTTATATATTATATAGACTTGTTAGATTATATATCTTATTTAACATTATATAACAATATAGATCATATATAGTTATATTATCCACATATTGCATTTTATTTAATATAATTGATATCACTATAATTATAGAACATTGCATATTATATATTAAATAGACTTGTTACATTACACGTTACATTATTTTAAGATACTTATGTTAGTAAAATTATATAGTAATATGTTATATTTTATTATACATTATACTATGTAGGCTTGTTAAATATATTGTATATTGCTCTTTTATTCTGTACTTTTCTTTGTATGAGTATTTGCTTAAATGATTTTCTCAACTGTTTAGAGATCTGCAACTTTATCCATAAGAGACCCTGTTCATATCCATGAAGCCTCTGCTAACGCCCATCAGGATTCACCCCCGTTCCTCCTTTGCCCTAAACTTTTACTCTGGGCCTCTGCTTTGACTCTGCCCCTAACCTCCTCCTTATGTACCCTGTGCTTTTGTGTGGACTCACATCCATCCTCACAGTCTCCTAGCTAAATGACTGATAAGGTTGACTCTGTGTCCCCATCCAAATGTCATCCTGAATTGTAATCCAGGTGTGTTGAGGGAGGGACCTGGTGGGAGGTGATTGGATCTTGAAGGTGGTCTCCCCCGATGCTGTTCTTGTAATAGTGAATGAGTTCTCACAAGGTTTGATGCTTTAGTAGTGTTTGGCAGTTCCTCCCTCGCTCCTGCTGCCATGTAAGATGTGCCTTGCTTCCCCTTCCACCGTGATTATAAGTTTCCTGAGGCCTCCCAGCCATGTGAAACTGTGAGCCAATTAAACCTCTTTCCTTTATAAATTACCTAGTCTTAGGTAGTTCTTCATAGCAGTGTGAAAATGGACTAACACAATGATGTTGAGTAACTTGATGTCATCATGCTTTAGTTCCTGTCTCTAAAATGAGATAATAATGGTGCCTATTTCAGGTGGTTTTGTGAGAACTGAATGAAATAAACTTAGTGAATCACTTCAAAGCATGTCTCACTCTGAGCCACCAGCCAATGCATGATAGTTATATTTAGTTCTCTTGACTTATCATTGAATTTCCCCTGGGGGCTGAACCAGCATTTTCTGCAGAGTAGTCCCTTTATCAGTTTGTGGGAAGAGTGAACTTTTCTTGTCTTCCTCTTTGTTTCTGGGCTCAGGGTATCTTCCTCTGACAGTATTTGTCCAAACCCTATTTTTAAAGACATAGCTCAAATCCTTCTATGCATTGCCTTTCCCAGCTATTTCAGTTCTCACTAATTTGTCTCCTTCCAACTTTGACAGTACATGGACTATGTTCTACACAATTTAGCACTCAATTACATGCTGTCTTATATTCACATTTGTGTCATGTATTATAATCATCTTCTTAAATACATTGTTAACTCCTTGAGGGTATCACATTGAAAGCCATTAAAACTGTCACAAAGCTTAGCTCAACTCTGAGATCAGAGTAGTCTTCAAGAGAAATTTTGCTGATTCTTCTATTTGTCAAATATTTATTGAGCATGTACTTGATGCACTATGTGGGTGAGGTAGTATCTTAGAAGACAGGAAGGATGCTCACATAGAAATCTTTTCAAAGAGACCAGGCATGGTGGCTCACACCTGTAATCACAGCACTTTGGGAGGTCAAGGCGGACGGATCACTTGAGATCAGGAGTTCGAAACCAGCCTGCCCAACATGGTGAAACCCTGTTTCTACTAAAAATACAAAAATTAGTTGGGTGTGCGGTGGTGGTGGGCACCTGTAATTCCAGCTACTCAGGAGGCTGAGATAGGAGAATCACTTGAACCCGGGAGGCGAGGTTGCAGTGAGCCGAGATTGCGCCACTGCCCTCCAGCCTGGGCAACAGAGTGAGAATCCGACTCAAAAAAAAAAAAAAAAAAAAGCAAATCTTGTCAAAGAAAATGATGACTGCATTAAACAGGAAGGGTGCATTCTCAGAAAACATGCCAAGAGCTCCAAGGCTGGAGGTGCCCAGGGGCTTTCTCAGGTCCCCTCTGGTCTTCACGGACACTGCACTGGGATGAAGGGTGATGGTCTTGCTCCTGTCCCAGGTGAGATCCGGCCAGGCTTTGGAAGCTGGAGGCTCTCACACCCCACCCAGCCCAGCGCACTCTTGGGCTCACAGTTCAGGCTGCCTGGCTCAGTCCTCCAGGTGGTGAGTGCTCTTCCCTGCCACTGGCATCCTGGGGGAACTGTGCTTATGCATGATCATGAGGAGAGCCGTCTGCACACTGTTCTTCCTGCAGGAAGCAGCGATTGAGTGAGCAGGCTGGGCTGCAGAGTCCAGGAGTGAGGGATGTTTTAGAGATCAGGAGCATCTGCAGTGATGGAATCGAATGCTCCAAGTGATCAGTGGCACATTTTAAATGCTTTCTCTCTAGGAAGTTGAAATATTGGAAATAGGATATGTGATGATCCCACATCTCAAATAATGACAAGCATGCCCTGGTTTTAGAAATCTTTTCTATATATGATTTTTGGATACACATCCAAAGCATGTTTTTGAGATACACAAATTTATTTTCAGCCTGAGTGCCCGGTACTTACCTCATGCACACACAAGTCATGTTAGAAAAAAATACATATTATTTCCTTCACTGGAAACTTCTATCAAAATAATCTCCCAAATCACTGTCAGAAAAAAAATAACGAAAACTTAGTTCACCAAACTATTATTGATAGCAATGTAATTATCTTGCTAACAGAAGTGCACTTTAGAATGACATCTTATTTGTAGTGCTGATTACAAAACATTTAATTATGACAGGTTGAAACGCATTTTGTTAAATTACATGAAAAAGTTTGAGTAGTGAAGGGTTGGCTTGTTGACCTATAAAATTCAATATGATATTTCACCATTGAGTGACACATTCAGGAGAAAGAGAATTGCGTTCAATATAGTTTTACCTTCCTTATTAGCTAAATTTTATTTGTAGTTTCAACTGTATTGTCTGCTATGGGATATGAATATACTTCTTTCTAACACAGAAATATTTGAATCCCTACATTCCTAAAAATATTAGAAATGTTTTACTTTAAAGAGGTAGCTTTTTGCCCAGAGGGCAAAGTATATTTGTATACATCAAAGTTTGCTTTAAACATAACTCTAAAAGTTAAGTAATATTTAGTCTTAGCAATTATAAACCACAGTTGTTGAAAGTATAATTTTAAGAGTATGAAAATTATTTGGGATTTATTGGATATATCAATTTTTGCTATGTCACCTTATGTTATTGGGGCTCATTATTTAATTTTATTAAATATTATTATTTATATAATATGATTATATAAATATTGTTATATTAAATGAATATTATTTATTATCATTGTTAACTACAACCTAATGGTAACAATTGAAAACTATGATTGAAGTTTTGATAATTATGATACTTAGAACAGTTTTAATAAATTCCAACTTCAGCAGAGAGTCTCTTCATACTATTTTTATTGTAATCTGTACAACATAGTATTTTATGTAGAGTGCCCCATGTGAGAAGCAGCTACAGTGAAAAGTAATCCCAGGAATTTCCAGCATCTGCGCTTTTATTTTACTGATATTTGTGATGAAACAGATGTCAAAATGGAACTGCAAGCACTTGATAGAAAGCGGAAGTCTGAAGGAATCCATAGGATTTTCGAGGGTCCTGATGATTTCTCTTTATTTCACCTCACTCAAGTGTTGTTAAGATTCTTTAGGCTTGTTATGAGTCCCTAAGTTACGATTTTAGCTGCTGTAGGGACTCAACAATTGGCATTGAAGTAGTATTACTTTTTTTCAGCATTTGTTTGCACACATTTTCATGTCAGTGTTCAACTATAATAAATTTCAGTCAAAATTTGATTATTAGCACATTTAATCTTAGGCTCAAATTTATTTATTTTTTAATTTTAGAAAATCTTAAAACTGTTGTGGGTACATAATAGGTGTCTATATTTCTGGGGTACATGGGATGCTTTGATGCAGGCGTGCAGGCAGAATAATCATGTCATACAGAATGGGGTGTCCATCCCCAAGCATTTATCCTTTGAGTTACAAACAATCCAATTATGCTTTTTAGGTTATTTTAAAATGTAGGTACAACTAACTTTTTATTGGCTATAGTCACTCTGTTGTGCTAGCCAATAGTAAGTCTTCTTCATTTTTTCTATTTTTTTTGTACCAATTAACCATCCCCACCTGCCCCCCAACCCCGCCCCCTCCCAAGTCCTCTACTGCCCTTCCGAGCCTCTGGTAACCATCCTTCCACTCTCTATGTCCATGAGTTCAACGGTTTTGATTTCTAGATTCCACAAATAAGTGAGAACATGTGCTGTGTCTCTTTCTGCGCCTGGCTTATTTCACTTAACATAATGATCTCTAGTTGTTTCCATGTTGTTGCAAATGACTGGATCTCATTCTTTTTTACAGTAAATACTAGAGTACGATACTGTACTTTTACTATGGTACCATAGTAATAGTACTCCATTGTGTATAGGTACCCCATTTTCTTTATCCATTCATCTGTTGATGGCCACTTGGGTGACATCCACATCTCAGCTATTGTGAATAGTGCCTCAGCCTGAAAATTTAAAACTCTTTTTGCTTCCTCTCTCACTAAACCCGAAATATGGCATCTTCCTTCCAAATTGCAGTGGGCAATTATCATGGTGCTTTGTCGCTCTTTGACCTAAATGATTTTTTTCTCATTCACTGCCCTAGTGACCAACACCCTGTCTTTTGCCTTCTGCATAGTCTATAGTGCTAAAGAAGATGATATTTTTTCCTTGTTATTATAACAGTGCTTTTCTATGAGAGTCAGACTTTCAAGCACTCCTTTAAGTGGGAGTGCTCATGCATTTTTCTGGCATTCTCTGTGAAACATCATTAAGCATCTTCTCTGGAAGCTGTTGATCAATATTTTATTCATTTACCATTTCACATCTTTTGTTAAATTTAGCAGTTAACAATAGCTGGGACATGGGCTAGTTGGTCCTAAGAGACCAGAAATGTGTTTTCACTAGCTGATCTAGTCAGACCAGAAATAATTCCTATTTTCAAGCCTCAAAACTTTTTATAAGAAACTGGAGTCATCACATTCCTCCTTTCTCATCCTTTCTCAAACAGGGCCCACAGAATATTAAAGCAGAGCCCTGTGCTGGAATCTGTCTGGCATACGTCGTATTAACATTGAACTTGTTTCTCTGGAGCAGGGCTTTGCAGAAACTGCATGCATTGAACATTATCAAGAAGTAAACTTAGTGTAAAGAATTTCCATAGATTGGTTCACCAAGGACCTGTTTTAACAGAAGATTTTGGGAGTTTAAGAATGGAAGCGGAACAAACCAATCAGAGAGCAAACTAAAACCCCAAAGATAGTACAAGACAAGGAGTAAAAGGATTAGCAAGGTACAGGTGGTGCTGGTGATGTCTGAAATAGTTTATTACTCTAGTTACAAACCATGAGAGGTTGTCAATATTTATGTAACCCTCTTTAAAATGTCAGAGGTTATTCTGTGCTGGTTAAGGACTTTGGCTTCATAATTTTTAGATAAACATAAAGATTACAGAGTATCAGCAGAGATTTATTCTCTCTAATTCTCACCATCTACTTGCTGAAATATAAGACATGGACCACAGGTTTCTAATTAGGGTTGTGAAATGGGATAAACAAGCATGGATTTTTAAAAAGTTATTTATCTCTAGATACTAATATACATATAATGCAAATAAAAAGTCTTAACAATAGAAGAAAATGTTATCTTGATCTACATTTATTAAAAGTGTATGAAAATTTTGATTTTGACAGATTTTACTTTTTTTCCCTTTCCAATCAGGGAGGAGGGAATGGTATGCCCAAAATATGCCTATAGTAGAAAAACATAGAGGTGAGATGTATTATTCATGTAGGTATCAAACATACTAGAGGTTAAAAATTAGAGTGCAATTTGAAGCTTAATATTCAGTTTCAGTTTAATTTTTCTATTTCAGTTTGCAGAATCATCTAACCATCAGCTCTAGGTAAAATATGGCTAAGATAAAATATTTAGCTTTTTCAAGCTTTAGGTAGAGACTTTAAATGTAATTAAAATTGCATCCATATAAAAAAATTAGGTTGGTGCCAAAGTAATTGTGGTTTTTGCTATTGAGTGATGGCAAAAGCCGCAATTACTTTTGCACTGAACCATTTCTTTAAAAAAAAAAACTTTTATTTAAATTCAATAATCCTTCCCCAAACCCTCAATAAAGTTCACTTTATTGAAAGTTTGTGTTGCTGTTCTCATGTTTATGAGGCTCAGCACAGCAGTACAGATGAATATCCACACAGCATACATCTAAATATTTGTGTCATAACTTGAGCTAACGATTCTTATATGACATAAGTTGCTCTTACCTACAACTTAGCAAATCAAAGTAACTCTACTTTAGACTTCATAGTCTTCTTCAAGTTCTGCACCCCTGATCCTTACTCTAGGGGTACATTGCAAATTGTTTATCTCAGGCTGCCATTTGTTTTTCGACTTTGCTTGAAGTGTTTTTCTTTTTTTCTAGGTGAAAATATTTGAGTTTTATGTAGTTGAATTTTTCAGTATTCTTTCTTGCTTTCTGGATATTTTGTCAGTCTTCAAACATTCTTTTCTAACTTCATATTAGTTTAAAAATCTCTAATATCAATGCAGTGTAATGTTAATGACTTTACAGGAATCCTGTCTTCCATCTGGAAGTAATTTGATATCAGGTGTGAGATATTTCCCTCACATAGCAGAAAAAGTGTTAACATCCACAGCACCCTAAATGCATTTTGCTTCTCATTACTGAACCGAACAGCCTTTGCTAGTCGCCCCTGGGTAAAACTGGGGCCATGAGTTTGAGGCCTCCTCAAAGGAAGACAGACAAGACAACGTGTCAGAATTCCAGATTTGAGTCCCACATTTCCTGCAGAATCCCATCTTCCCAGCCTCCTGGCTTGATGTGTTCTTCCAGGGCTGTTGGGGGCCTAACTTGGTGGGCCTCCAGCAGGCTCCATCCCTGAGTGACTCTGTGGATCCAGCATGCTCATATCTCCTGCTTGTTGTGTTACATCCTGAGATTTGGAGGTTGTTTATGATAATTATCTTACCCTAATGTATGCCAATTCATATTTATTTTCAATATCCCAACTTACAAGTTTCAATGTTATTTAATAAATAATCCCTTTTCCACACTGATTTGAAGTAGAATGGTAAAAATATAAAGGCTGATAAACTTGTCTACACATATAATTTTTTAAAGTAATTCACCAATTTAGCATATAGGGATGTGTGCATCTTAGGGTATTAATCTTGGTGTATTTGATTCTCTGATATTAATAGTTCATATATAATAAATGTATGTGCTGTTCTGAATATCATTTAAAGAAAGTATAAATGTTATATTTTTGTATGAGTCAGCACTGTGTCTTATTGGGGTCTAATGAGGGCATAGAAAGAAGATAATTGAGCTGGATGTGGTGGCTCACGCCTGTAATCCCAGCACTTTGAGAAGCCAAGGGGGTGGGCAGATCGCTTGAGGTCAGGAGTTCAAGACCACACTGGCCAACATGTAGAAAAACCGTCTCTACTGAAAATACAAAAAACAGCTGAGCACAGTGGCTCAAGTCTGTAATCCCGGCACTTTGGGAGGCCGAGGCAGGTGGATCACCTGAGGTCAGGAGTTCAAGACCAACCTGGCCAACATGGTGAAACCCTGTCTCTACTAAAAATACAAAAAAAAAAAAAAAATAGCTAGGCGTGGCGGCATGCACCTGTAATCCCAGCTACTCGGGAAGCTGAGGCAGGAGAATTGCTTGAACCCAGGAGGCAGAGGCTGCAGTGAGCTAAGACTGTGCCATTACACTCCAGCCTGGGTGACAGAGCGAGACCCCATCTTAAAAACATAAACAAATAAATAAAAATAATTAATAAATAAACTTAAATTTCAATAGCTATTTATATGGGCAGTATAGCCCCAAATGATACCACTGTCTGTATAAATGATGGCTGTAAATATAGGGGAGAATTTCTACCCATACTCAACCCCAGCACCCACATTCTGAATGTGAGGAGCCCAAGGGGGAAGCTCACCACTCCCAGCCACAGCACCAAAGCCTCACGTCTTCTGTAGCTAAGGTCGTCCTGTTGCTCATATGCAAATCTTTATGACAATATGCATTGAATTAAAAAATAAAACTTTGCTACAACCCTATTGCTGCAAAACTCTTTCCCATGGGTTTTCATCCTACGTGAGATTTTATGTTTTATTCTTCTTGTTCTTAATCATTTTCATTCAATACTGAATTTGACAAACATGCTGCAGAAAATTTCAGTAACAGCACCTGTATTTGATGAGATGGAGGAAGGGAACAGCCTGCTTTTTTGGTGTTGTAAAAAACAATGCAAAACAGAAAACAAAATAACAAAACAATAAACACAGGAAAACTCAAAGGAACTTGTGGCAGCATGATGACTAAGTGAAAATCTTTATCTCTGTGGAACATGTCAATGCGTTCTGTTTGACAATTCATTCTATTTGAAAAGATGCTGGCCGCAATGGCAGGGCTGTGAGGGATTCCATGAGACCTCAGCATTCATGGCTTCTTATATATGGAAGAAGCAGGCAGGCATTTGGAGGGTGAGGAGGTAGCATCATCTTTTGTTAGACAATCTCTATCTTAATACAACTATTCCCAACAGCATGCCCTTCGTTTTATGAGAGGTAGCTTTATTTCCTCCTTATATGGGAGTTTCTCATCCATCGTTATTGCAGCAAGAATTAATTTCGCCAAGTTCAATAGTGCTAAAAGGACTGAAATATGCTCCAAATGGTAACTTTCATTCCTCATCTGTAAAATAAGCCACGCACAATCGCTAATTCACCTCCACTCTCATACCCAGACTTCCAGGATTTAGAAGCACCATCACCAAACAGTTCTGGGGAGGCCGGCCTGAGATTTGGGTTTGCCTGCCAGGAGTTTATTGGGAGCGTCTTCAAGACGGACGTCTTCGGGGAAGTGGAGGGAGCAGGATTGGGTAGAGGGAGAAGCTGAACAGTGATGGAGTCTCAAGAAAGGCCCAGACCCTCCTTCGAGGAGCTCTCAAGCTGGCGTGGAACTCAAAGTTGTCCTCTGAGGAGAGGAGACCTGGGCATGTGGCCCACACAGGGGAGTCGGCGTAGGGGCTGCCCAGGGAGTGGGCATGACGGGGAGCTGGCTCTCCTCAGCCGAGGGGAGGCGAAGGGTCCAGCCCAAAGCTGTCTCAGCAACACTTCCAGAAGTTGTGGAATGAGTGTTCCCATGAGACTAGCCCATGTCCCAGCTATTGTTAACTGCTAAATTTAGCAAAAGATGTGAAATGGCAAATGAGTGCTCTGGAGCTGAAGAGAAAATCTGCAGATGCATTACATATTTCACTTCAGGCAGGAGAATGTACAGAGACCGAAGCAGGTCTTAGCAGGTCCTTGGCACTGACTGCTCAGGGCCTGGGCGGCTGTGGAATAAGGGCAGAACTCGAAAATGACAAACGAATGGCTGCTGGAGTCAGAAACTAGCAGCTCAGTTTGAAAAACAAAATCTATTAAAATGATTCTTGTTCATACAAAAAGTAAGGAAACCAAAATGACAGGGCTTAAACAAATAGAACAGCCTGGAAATAGACGCCATCCATGTTTCTTGATGATATGATGTTAAAATCGTAATGTTTTGGCTCAAACCGATAGTACTAGTTATTTTGATTTCAGAATGAAATGGGAAACACCGCTGTGGTGATGTCACTTGTATTAACATAGGAAAGTTCCTGAGAAAGAAGGTTATTGCATCGAATGAGAATCTGTAACTGACAGATACATTTCCTTCCTTGAGAAAACATCCCACCAGATCCTTGCAGGGTATGAACTACTCAAAAGGAGCATGGAGTGTTGATAGGTTGATGACGTTTAGAGCATCATGATATTTGACTTAGTTCCAATTATGCTGTTAGGTTAGGTTGTCACCTAATATGATTCTGACTTTAAGCATTTAAGGACTTTTTCTGATGTGAAAGTATAAAACTTCAAATGGTGCTGAGATAGTTTGAAAAAAATTAAAAATAAAACTTTTATTGAGAATAAAATATATATGGAATGGAACTTAAAAAAGACAGGAAGAATGTATACAAAATGAAGAAATTAATAATTTTATTGGAGAATGAATGTGTTGGTATTGCTTGGTAAGTTCTCTCTTCTGTGTGATGGCAGTTTTATGGCAAAGAAAGGGACATTCAGTATTGACTTCCATATTTTCACCAGCAGAGGCTTCCGATTGTAAATCTGGGATTGAGTATGCAGCAGTGAGTAATAGGGTGACTTTGTCGTAGGTCGGATATGCAGCGGTAATACCATGACTTTCTTATAGGTCGAGTGTGTAGCAGTGAGTAATAGTGTGACTGCGTTATAGGTTGGTTGGGCAGTGGTAATAGTGTGACTTTGTCATAGGTCAAGTATGTAGTAGTGAGTATTAGCATGACTTTGTACCGAGTATGTAGTAGTTAGTATTAGCGTGACTTTGTTATACCAAGTATGTAGTAGTGAGTATTACCATGACTTTGTTATACTGAGTATGTAGTAGTGAGTATTAGAGTGAGTTTGTTATACTGAGTATGTAGTAGTGAGTTAATAGTGTAACTTCGTTATAGGTCGAGTATGTAATAGCAATAGCATGACTTTGTCATAGGTTGAATTTTGTCTGAATTTGGAATTTTTATCTAAAACAGATATGTAGAAAGCCTAACCCCCACTACCTCAAAATGTGATCTTAAGCAAACAATTCAAAGTGAAATCACTAGGGTGAGCCTTAATGAAATGCCTAAAGAAGTGCCCTTATGAAATGGGGACATTTGGAGACAGATGCACACACAGGAAGAATCCACGTGAAGTCAGAGGCAGAGATTAGGACCCGTCAACAGGGTGAGTAATGCCTGGGGTGACCAGGAGGAGGAAGAGGCAAGGGAGGGCCCCCTTTACAGCACGAGGTGTAGGTTGGCCCTGACAACACTCTGATTTTGGACTTCTAGACCTCACAACTCTACGACAGTGGGTTTCTTTGGCTTTAAGTCCCCTGGTGTGTGTTCCTGTGCTCTGGAAGCCTGAGCAGGCTAAGAGAGATTTTGGTTCTGAGAAAGGAAGTGCTGTGACCAATACCTGACAATGCCGGGGTGGCTTTGGAACTGGGTAACGGTTAGAGGCAGAGAGAGTTTTAACATTTATGTCAGAAGAAGACTCAATTGTTCTGAAGATACAGTTGGTAGACATATGGATGTTAAAGGTGATTCTGGGGAGGGCTCAGACGGAAATAGGAACATGCTATTGGAAAACGCAGGAGATGATCTTTGCCACAACATGGTAGAGAAGTTGGTGCAATTGTGTCTTGTTGTGTCGAAAGTATAACCTGTAGGGGACAAACTTGGATATTTAGCTGAGGAGATCTCTAAGGAAAATGTTGAAGGAAGAGCCTGGTTTCTTCTTGCTGCTCATAGTAAAATGTGAGAGTTGGAAAAAGTATATTGAAGAAAAGATTGCTAAGAAAAAGGAAACCAGGGCCAGGCACGGTGGCTCACGCCTGTAATCCCAGCACTTTGGGAGGCTGGGGTAGGTGGATCACAAGGTCAAGAGATCGAGACCATCCTGGCCAACGTGGTGAAACCCTGTCTCTACTAAAAATACAAAAATTAGCTGGACATGGTGGCACATGCCTGTAGTCCCAGCTACTGGGGAGGCTGAGGCTGGAGAATTACTTGAACTTGGGCGGCGGAGGTTGTGGTGAGCCGAGATCAGCCTGGTGACACAGCAAGACTCTGTAAAAAGAAAAAACAAAAACAAAAACAGAACTTGAAGATTTGGAAAATTCTCAGTTTACCTATCCTGCAAAAACTCAGAAAATATACTCTGGAGAGAAAACCAAGATTGTGGCTGGACAATTGTCAAGATTCCCTAGGCAGGGCTCATGGAGCAATTTGCTGCAAACATGTGCTATGCTTCACGAAAAGGGAAGACCTCAAGGGTGGTTCAGAGGCTGGCGAAGCTGCTGCCTCCACTTCAGGCCCAGAGAGTGTGGACCGGGGTTGAACCCACTCCCTCCTCTGCTTCAGGAGGCTGTGCTTCCAGCCTGTGCAGGCTCAGGGTAGCGCATCAAGAGCATCAGGACAGTGAGGGTTGTTCTCAAGTCTTAAAATCTCAGGGGCTTTTCTCTGCTGCATTTCAGATGTGCTTGGAACCTGTGGCCCTTTTCTCCTTCTGATGCCTCTTTTTGGAGTGGGGACTTGTCCTGCACTGCCCGGAAACCAATATGTGACATCTGGTTTCACAGGTTCACAGATGGGAAAAATATTTGCCCCAGCACAGATCATACCCTGCCACTCACTCATAACCACTTTGGATAATTTAAATAATAAGATTGAGACTTTGAGTAGACACTGGAATGAGGAAAATCTTAGGGATGTTGGGAGGGGCAGGTGTATTTCTCACGTGGGAAGGGCATGAGTTGGTGGGTGTGTTATGCATTGAATTGAATCCCCCAAAATAGTATTTTGAAGTCCTAACCGCTGCACCTCAGAGTGTGACCTCACTTGGAAATAGAGCATTTACATGGTAAATCAGGTTAAAACAGGTTCGTTATGGTGGCTGTAATTCAATATGACTGGTGTCCTTATGAAAACGGGAAATTTAGACACAAAGACCACATGGAGGAAAGAAGACGTGAAGACACACAGGGGAACACAAGGAACACAACCTAAAGGTGAGGGCAGACATTGGATGGGACGGGTGCAACCACAAGCCAGGAATACCAGGGACAGCAGAGTGTGGAAGAGGCAAGGAGGCTCATCCCTTGGAGGCTTTGGAGGGAGCTTGGCTCCCAAACACCTCGATCTTGGACTTTGAGTCTCCAGAACACAGAGAAAATCAATGTCTGGGAGTGCAAGCCCTCCACCTTGCGGCGCTTCTTGATGGCAGCCCTGGGAAATGTGTGGGCTCTCAGGGGCAGACACGTGGGCATGGACTATGATTCTGCAACTTTCTAGGGATGCTAATTTAGGCAACTTAGTTAATCTTTCTAAACCTCATTTTCATCAAATGTAAAGTGGATATGGAGAGACTGCTTAAGTCACATGGCTATTTTAAGAGTTTCATCAAACATTTGAAATACTTCACCTAGTGTCTAGCCTTTTATTGTACTAGGAATTCTAGGAGCAAAGGAAAAACTATCTCAACAGTTTCCAAATCAGGTGCTCCAAAAATTCAAAATATGAAGCAATACAGAAGATGACCATGGCCCAGTGTTGCCAATTGTCCTCTGTCCTCTTCTGTTAGCATAGCTCATGTCTTGCCCTTAACCCTCCCTTCAGTCGGCCAGTGCACAGCACTTCTCCACTAATTACACAGGACACATAAACTAATAGCACAGAGAGGAGACTCGAGTGACCCTAACCCCCAAGGAGCAAGGGCTTTGCTACAGCTCAAGCAGCTTCATTTCCCCTTGGAACACGCATTTTTGTTTCTCTATCATTTACAAGAGCACCCTCTGAAGTAGGCTGTGTTTTACTGCTATACAATCACCTCTGTTTCCAAACCAGACTTGGCACGATCTGGGTTTCTCCATATTGTTATTGAACTGATGGTGGTCTTCAGGAAGTGCGCAGGCTTCTGAGCCTTTTTTCTAAATATCTGCATCTACAGGCAAAACTTATAGGCTTTATTTCAAGTAAATTTAACTTATATAACTACTGATAAATTCTTTTCTATTGAATCCTCAGCTATAAGCTTTAAAGTACTCTATAATGATTAGCTGCTGTTTCTGCTGTTGCTTCTCTTACGGTTAGAACAGTGGCCTTGAAGAGAACCACCACATTCCACTCTTACACTTGGGATTATCTAAGTTTAGATCAGATCATGAAAAATAATCATTAAATTATTATATTTAGATGAACTTGCTTGTTCTCTAACCAGGCACACCCCTTGCTGGGCTCCTGTGTTCCTCCTAGACTGGAACACCTTTGAGCTTCTTCCTAATAAGTGCTGTATTAGTCTGTTCTCACGCTGCTGACAAAGACATATCCAAGACTGGGCAATTTACAAAAGAAAGAGACTTAATGGACTCACAGTTCCACATGGCTGGGGAGGCCTCACAATCATGGTGGAAGGCCAGAAGGAGCAAGTCACGTCTTACATGGATGGCAGCAGGCAAACAGAGAGAGATTGTGCAGGGAACTCCTCTTTATAAAACAATCAGATCTCATGAGACTTCTTCACTACCCTGAGAACAGCATGGGAAAGACCTGCCCCCATGATTCAATCATCTCCCTTGGGGTCTCTCCCATAACACATGGGAATTCAAGATGAGATTTTGGTGGAGACACAGCCAAACCATATCAGATACATATCGACACACTACAAAAAGTTGTGTCAAAGTTTCTGCCAGGCCCTCCCAGGACTGCCTGTTCCTCTGAGTGTGACCCAGCCAATTCCTGAGCCCTGCTTCTTCCTGGTGGGAGTACCTATCAGATGCCCTGCTCTGGTTGCTGAGTGGTGATTTTTATCCTTTCACCAATCTGACCCAGACGTAAGATGATGACCAATGTGAAAGCATTGTGTGTGGAAGTTCTATTTCTTTCTCTCTCTTTTTTTTTTTTTGAGACAGTCTCACACTCTGTCACCAGGCTGGAGTGCAATGGCACAATCTTGGCTCACTGCAACCTCTGCCTCCCAGGTTCAAGCCATTCACCTGCCTCCACCTCCCGAGTAGCTGGGACTACAGGCATGTGCCACCACACCAAGCTAATTTTTGTATTTTTAGTAGAGATGGAATTTCACCATGTTGGCCAGCATGGTCTCGATCTCTTGACCTTGTGATCTGCCTGCCTCGGCCTCTCAAAGAGCTGGGATTACAGGCATGAGCCACCGTGCTCAGCCCTATTTCTTAATTGCTATTACAAGTTCGAGTCATTTCATTACCAATTGATTCAAATCAGTCCATAATAAGATGTCGTGGGAGACACTGTATGAAACAATCTGTGAATTTTAATGACTTCATAAATACACTTAAAAGCAACCAAAGTGTCTCTCTTTTCAATCACTTATTTTTCTGAGGAAAGTTTATGTTTTTTTTTATTTGCAGGTTTATAATTGCAATGAGCTGGCTTTAATTAATTGAATATATTTTAATATAATTAATAAGTTGAATTCTTACTGGAATACTCAGGTGATTATGTAGTTTGAGTTCTAAAGATGCAATTTGCATATTATTAGAATAATCAGAAGTACTTCAGCATTAGAAGGAAGGTAACATTTAATTTTAGCACACTTAATCATGTGGTTACCAAAGCAAAATGAGGTAGGTAATCATATGATTTATTAAGAGGTTACGACAACTGCAACCTGCCACTGGGAATTTTTACATGGTTTTCTTGAGATAAACCAGAAAGACATTCTGGGACCATTTTTCTCCTCAGATGTTTACAAAGCTCTGAATTGATCTTTCTGATTGCACACTTGTCCCTTTGCCCAAATCATCCTCCATTTTTACTTTTTAAAAATCATGGTGTGGACACATTTTTGGGGAGGCCAAGTTCGGGTGGCTGTGATGACAATGTGGCCCCAAATGGCAGAAGTGGGAAGGCTCCCGGCCCCGAGCAGAGAGCTGTGAAGACTCTCCCATTCCCTGACTTGGTGTGGATGGAACGTTCCCTGTGCCGACATGAGGCCTGGGCTCTTGTCAGCAGTGAAGGGTTCCACTGGCTGTCAGGGGCCTGGTAAGATAAGCTTTGTAAGACTGGGGACAATAGGTTCTGGTTAAGAAGCAAACAGATGGAACTGTGGAGTGAGCACAGGTGGGGCTCGGTGTCCCTGCCTGGGTGTCCACCATGGCCAGGGCCCTGAACAGCCAGGTGCGTGGGGTGGCCCTCACGTGGGCTGGAGCAGGCACAGCGTGGCCCCTGTGGCTGGGCAAGGGTGCTGAGCAGAGCAGCCTGGACGGTGCTGTCCATTGTCAGGTGCTGACCAGGACTCTCAGGAGGGCCCTCCACTGTGTGTGAGCTGGGGGATTCTCCGCCTGCTCTCCTGGCTTTGTTCCCTTTGATAACAGCTGGTGGTTGGCGGAAAAGCAGGGCAGCCTGGGCTCAGACCCATGGAGGAGGAGAACCAGCTCCCCGACCTTGCAACACCTTGGGTCAGCAGAAACGCGGCCACTCGAGCTCAGTGCGGCTTTCAGATGGATGGCAGTCGCAGGTGGCTGTTTTGTTGTCACTGTCTGTTTTATGCTTTTATTTTTAAGCTGGAATGGCCACTCTTCTGAATGCTCAGTACAAGAACACAGGGAACTTTTGGGCGTCTCAGCCTGGACAGAAATGCAGGAAATGAACCCCCCAACACACAATGCCATGTCCCCCATCTCCCCTCAGCCTTCCAGTAACCACTACCAGGACTCAGGTGACAGCTGTCCCTGAAAGGAAAGAAGCCTGCAGTTTCAGTTTCCTGGAGGCCGCATCTCCTCCCTATACAGTGGAGGTGACTTGATAACGCACCTGTGAGCTCCTATCTGCTGCCCCACTTCTGTCTTCATTCTCTGCTCCCTGCCCAAGTTCTTCCTGCTCCCAAAGAAGCTGCAGACACTCCTGACCTCGTGTCAGGTCTGTTTACCCCAAGAGAGGCAGCTACCACTGTCACGTGCTGACATGGGTTTAAAGCAAGGCTCCAGGCAGGAAAGAGGGAGAAGCTTCTAGGCCGAGCATGAGGAGAAAGGACCCAGTCTCACCCCAGGCCAGTGGCCGAGGATGTGAAAGAGAAGACAGCATGGCTGCAGGGGGTAGCCAGAGGCAGCAACGGGTGCCTGTGAGGATACAAGGAGGGAAGAAGTTGGCCCAGAGGGGTTTGCTGAGGACCAGACCACAGGCCGTCTGAGATGGCAGTAGGAACTGGCCAGGCTCAGACAGCAAGGATGAGAGCATTACAGGACTGGTGTCCAGACAGGAAGCGGTCAGTCCTAGAGGTCCCAAAGCTGGCAGGCAGAGGAGCTGCACCTGCTGTTCCTGCCTGCAGGGAATGGAGGGTGTTTCTGGGCATGCATGGCCCTGGGGTGGCCATGGCCCTGGGGATGGAGTCCTGGAGTCCTGCTGGGGGACGGTCTCATCCTTGTGCAGGTTTCTTCCCGACTTCCCCCGGAGGCCCCATGTGGCAAGTGGCACTTTACCCTCAGTCCTCAGCCTGGGGTCATGGTCCTGAGCCCTGCTGGAAATATGGGCTTATTCTAAGCAATAGCTTCCCCCTCACTTCATATCACTTGCAAATAAACATAATTTCTCCCTTTTAAAATTTGCATTATTGGATCTGTTACTTTATTTGTGCATTGCATTATCTAGCAGCAACGTGATTCTAGCAGAGGTTGGCCAGCGTCCCTGTCCTGGGCTGCCTTTGCTGGTATTTGCGAAGGGCCTCCTTCACAACTAAATGGCTTTCTTCCTTCTCTGTTTTACACAGAGCATCAAATCCCCCATGAATTGTCTTCACCAGCTTTTCTCACACGTTGGATTCGTTAGGCACTTCCATTTCTCCTTACTTACCCAGATTATATTTTAACCACTCTGGAGCTAGAAAACCATTTGTCCTCTTCAAATCACACTTCTGGTGCACTCTAGACACATTTCAGAAAATACTGATAGGCTCGAAGTAAAATGGAATTTAAAGTTCTGTTTTAAAAATGTGAATTCCATTTTTAAGTTGTATTTCTGCTGGAAAAATAATATTTACTGTTCTTTATGAATAATACAGTGCTATATAATTTTTCATTAAAACTATAAGAATTACTTCATAAGGCAATATTTTTCAAAATAGATTTATGGTATTTAATGATTTCATTAATTTTGTGTATAATGTGACTTTTAAACTTTGCTATTAATATAATCTCACCTTTAAAGTGAATGCACGTCTGAAATTCTCGAGACTCTAAATGGACTCACCCTGCCCTTCGGTTGTTGTGGGTGGTGGTCAGGTGACAGCCTGTTCTTTTGTGTCTGATTAAAGTTCGGTTGTTGTGGGTGGTGGTCAGGTGAGGACAGCCTGTTCTTTTGTGTCCGATTAAAATGGTTGGTGTATCCTTCAGTTGGATCTGCTGCAACAATCTATGAACAATGAAGATGATTTTGCCAATGTTTCTGTAGAAAAAGACCTTTTTAGAACATACATATTAGGTATATTTTTAGCACAGTAAAATGATTTTTCAAAATCAATGCACAGCAGGAAATGGTAGCTTGTAATATTTCAGTATAGTCATATGAACAGAGAATTCCTTAAAGTGCAAATGCAATTTTAGTCCATGGGGCTAATTTTGATCATGTTAAGCTCTGTAAAATCGCAGGAGCCCAGTTCATATCTCACTAAATAAGGGATTTCTTGAAAGAGTCATAGGCAGATGTCTCTATTGGTATGAAATGCATGGGAGAGGCATAAGACCTTATTTGTGTTTGTTTAGTAGTTCAGCCTCTGGTTTATAGGACTTTTGGGTTTTTAATTTTAATAACAAACCCTATTTAAACTCAGGTGAACACTCTCTTATCGTTGGGGCCTACTGTGATCTGAGTGTGTGCGCTCCCCCAAATTCCCATGTTGAAGTCCTCACCCCCAACACGAGTGTATTAGGAGGTGGGGCCTTTAGAAGGTGATTAGGCTCTGAAGGCAGATCCCCTGTGAATGGAATTCCTGTCTGCATGTAGGAGGCCCTGCCGAACTCCTTGGCCCTTCCACCATATGAGGACACAGCAGGAAGGCACCGTCTGTGAACCAGACAGCAGTTCTTACCAGACACGGAATCTGCGGGACCCTCCATCTTGGACTTCCGGCCTCCAGAACGGAAGTCAATGTCTGTGGTTTAGAAGCTGCCTGTTCTGTGCTTTTGTGTTGCAGGCTGAGTGGACTAAGGGGCATATTTCATGCACTTGTTTAACTGGATTCTCATTTTGTCTGGTCTGCGGCCATTCATGTTGCCCACTCAGGGTTTATTTACAGGCACTTTGCCTGTGTCTTCAGGGCATGGCCCTTCCTACAGCCATGTGCCCCGTGATCATTATGACGAGAGGCAGAGACAAAATGCCTCTTACCTCTTACACCATGCTGTTCAGAAAGTCCGGCAAGCTATTTTGTTGTAAAAGAAAATAGCATTAACTACCAAACGAAATCATACTGCCTGTGGATTTTATCATTCAAGATGTTCTGAGTAAAGCTGTCCTTCGTAAATAAAGAGCTGTCCTTCATAAATAAAGGAGTCCTGTTTATTTGAAGTGTTTTATTTTTGTTGTTGTTGTTGTTACAAATAGACTCACTCTAAACCAGTGAGCAAATATAAGAGCATATATGCCAGGCGGGAAAATCGTGACTCAGCCCATCCACACAGGCGCGTTTCCTGCGGGCTCCGTCCTGACCCTGCTTCCAGCGGCATTTCCAGTAAGGTCCAGTCATCAGTCTCTCAGATCCACCTAACTCACGCTTCAATAGCCCTGTTCAAAACTCTCCTTCTTCACTGTTTTACATATTCAGGTGAGGTTCTGCTCGGCGCACTGGTGAGTGCATGCTTTCTCCCCACAGCGCTTCTCTACCTCAAGAAAGAATTCACGAAACCTCTCTTAAGGTGCCTCCACCCAGCGAATGTTCCTTCTTTCTCTGCATCTCCATTGGGAGGCAGGTTCTATGCAGCGAGTCTTTTTCTTTCTTTCTCTGTCTTTCTTTCTTCTTTCTTTTCTTTTCTTTTCTTTCTTTCTTTCTTTCTTTCTTTCTTTCTTTCTTTCTTTCTTTCTTTCTCTTTCTTTCTTTCTTTCTTTCTTTCTTTCTTTCTCTCCCTCTCTCTTTCTCATTCTTCTTTCTTTTTCCTTCTCTCTTTTCTCTGTTTCTCTCTTTCTCTTTCTTTCTTTCTTTCTTTCTTTCTTTCTTTCTTTCTTTCTTTCTTTCTTTCTTTCTTTCTTTCCTTCTTTCTCTTTCTTCTTTTCTTTCTTTCCCTCTTTCTTTCTTTCTCAGGTCTCGCTCCGTGGCCCAGGCTGGAGTACACTCGTGGCAGGATCTCGTCTCACTGCAATCTGTGCCTCCCAGTTTCAAGCGATTCTCCTGCTTCAGCCTCCCAAGGTGTTGGGATTACAGGCACCGGCCACCACGCACAGATAATTGTTGCATTTTTTGTAGAGACGGGGTTTCTCCACGTTGGCCAGGCTGGTCTTGAACTCCTGACCTCAAGTGATCCACCCACCTCGGCCTTCCAAAGTGCTGGGATTACAGGCGTAAGCCCCCGCACCCGGCCCACACGGCAAGTGCTCCTATGATCCTGCTTTTTGTTGGGTCACATTGTGAAGGCTGGAGGTGATCACTGAAGCTGATCGTCTATTTGCTGTGTAGAGAAAATTATATTGATACCAAAATCAACAACCAAAATGCTTGCTTTTATCTGTTAAGAATTAAGTGATCTCTTTAAGTTTTATATACGTCTATGGCATTCTCTGCTGGTAGGCATTAGCCTCTCTCTAGGTCCCTGGAATATTCTGAGATACAGAGATCATTGATGGTAGAAATGAGTTCTATTGAAGATAGTAGTTGATTTTCCTTTCCAGTATAGTCTAACAAATTATACGTGCAAATTTAATGGGATCAGGATAGAAAATAACTGCTGAAAAAAAGGAAGGATGTACTTACTTCAAAGGACGCCACTGCCACACAGCATGGCAGCAATAACACCTGGGCTAACATCTGAAAACACAGCACCGATACTTTCAGTGGTTAGTAATAGAAGGATTGTTTATAACCCTCCTGAACTGGGAAAATGATGTATGTTCTGATGGAATCAGAGTTCACTCTATGACGTGCAGAGGAGAGATGCAGAGACTGAGAACAAAATAAATTCTGAAATCCAAAGCAAGGGTTTTATAACAACGTTGAGTTGTTTTGTATTCAAATAATTTCCCCCGCATTATAATAAACTAAGCACATTGTTGAGCAGGGCAAGAATACAGTGGATAAAAATGGAATTAAATAATCAGTTTAGTAATTCTGTCTTGAGTACCTACTGTGTGTTAGTTTGCTCTGCAAACTGTCAATTTTAGTTGAACTTATAAGCAAATACAGATGCATGGACCTTTGCCTGTGAATCTGAGAACAGTTTGGTCTAACAGGGGATGAAGGGATGGCAAAAAGCCCTCTCTAAACCATAGATCATATAATTAGAGTGAAGCTTTTCTCTAGGCTGAAAAGTAATTGTTGGCAGGTGCACATATCAAAACCAATGCCAAGATGCATAATGTTGAAGAATTATTATTCTAGTTATCACAACTTCCCTCAGTAATTCTAACTGTCAAGTTTTGCTGACCGATTATACCGAAATAGATAATAATATGGACTTGTGCTGAATTGTGCCTCTGGATAATTGCATTGTCATACTAAACCATTAAAACTGCTGAATTATTATTTGCACATCTTCTTGGACACAAAAAAGATAATCCCGTCACAGAACCAGGACAGAAGCAGGCTGGTGTTGACATGCTTTGAGTTTCTGTCATACGCGGAGCCTGTCATGGGCAAAGCAGCCACTGTACACCTCACAGGCACTCACACCTCATAGAGCGCCCAAGTTAACAAGGCCAACACAGTGCTGAAACCTCAAAACAGAATAAAGTGTAATTTAACATGAAAAATATATTCAAACATATAATTTAAGAAACACTGAAGATCATGTTTACATTAAAAACTGTTTTTCTATGCAAATTGCATTTTACAGGTCCCAAAGAGATTGTGCTGTGTAGAATCTGAAAAAGCTCATGATAACTTTTTAAAAATACAATCATTCATTCATTCATGCAAAATATTTAGCAGACATGACAGAAATATCGGCAGAAGGCTGTGAATGCAGAAATGTTCTGCTATTGATCTGTTTAAAAAGCCAAGTGTTTTCTTCTTTTATTTTTATTTTTTTGCATTTCTTCCTGCAGCCTCTGTCACTGTGTGTATGCATGTGTTATCTGTATACATGTGTATGTTTGTGTGTGCACATTTGCATATGTCTATATTTGTCTGTATGTGGTGTATTTGGTAGGGTGTTTGTATATGTATGTGCATGTTTATGTGTGTGAGTTTCTGTGTACATACACATGTGTTGTGTTTGCAGTGTGGTGTGTGTATGTGTAGTCTAGTGTGTGTGGGTGGTATGGTGTGTGTATGCATATGAATGTGAGTCTGTGTGCATGTATGTGTATGTCTGTATATGTTTGTGTGTTTCTGTGTGTGCTGTGTGTGCTATGTATGTGTAGGGGCTTGTGTGTGATGGAGTGCCCCATGAGGTGAATATTCATAGGTGAGCCTGACTGTAAACATCTCCTTCCTTGCAGCCAGCTGCTCTGGGGCTGACCTCCTGCACATCCTCTGAGGCAGGTGCCTGGGCTTTTCACCTGGACAACAGGGCGAGACTGGGGAGTCGCTTGCACCCATTTTCATAAAATTATGACCAAGAAAACAGCGGCTGCAATCTGATTGTTGCTGATGTCTTAGAGATCATCCTCAGACTTACTGGACTAAACAGCCATTCTCAACACCCGATGATACCCTCCAAGGGCCCATTCCTCCTCCTTAAGAAATGCCTGAAGTCAGGTAGTATGATGCCTCCAGCTTTGTATTTTTTGCTTAGGATTTCTTTGGCTATATGGGTTCCTCTTTGATTCCTTATGAAATTTAAAATAGTTTTTTCTAACTCTGTGAAGAATGTCAATGGTAGTTTGATGGGAATAACACTGAATCTATAAATTACTTTGGGCAGTATAACTATTTTCATGATATTGATTTTTCTTATCCATGAGGATGGAATGTTTTTCCATTTGTTTGTGTCTTCTCTTATTTCCTTGAGAAGTAGTTTCTAGTTCTCCTTGAAAAGGTCCTTTATATCCCTTGTTAGCTGTATTCCTAGGCATTGTATTCCCTTTTTGACGATTTTGAATGGGAGTTCATTCATGATTTGGCTCTCCGCTTTTCTATTGTTGGTGTAAAGGAATGCTTGTGGTTTTTGCACATTGATTTTGTATCCTGACACTTTGTTGAAGTTGCTTATCAGTTTAAAGAGTTTTTAGGCTGAGATGATGGGGTTTTCTAAATATAAAATCGTGTCATCTGCAAATACAGACAATCTGACTTCCTCTCTTCCTATTTGAATACCTTTTATTTCTTTCTCTTGTCTGATTGCCCAACCAGAACTGCCAATACTACGTTGAATAGCAGTGATGAGAGAGGGCATCCTGGTCTTGTACCGGTTTTCAAAGGGAATGTTTCCAGCTTTTGCCCATTCAATATGATATTGGC
Organism: Homo sapiens; assembly: GCF_000001405.40. Lineage (NCBI taxonomy): Eukaryota > Metazoa > Chordata > Mammalia > Primates > Hominidae > Homo > Homo sapiens. The sequence continues at coordinate 2,018,656 of NC_000010.11, forward strand.
TGTGGATTTGTCATAAATAGCTCTTATTATTTTGAGATATGTTCCATCAATACCTAGTTTATTCAGGGTTTTTAACATGAAGGGATGTTGAATTTTATCAAAGGTCTTTTCTGCATCTGTTGACATAATTCTATGGTTTTTCTGTTAGTTCTGTTTATGTCATAGATTATGCTTGTTGATTTGCACATGTTGAACCAGCCTTGCATCCCAGGGATGAAGCCGACTTGATCGCGGTCGATAAGTTTTTTGATGTGCTGCTGGATTCAGTTTGCCAGTATTTTATTGAGGATTTTCACATAGATGTTCATTAGGGTTATTGGCCTAAAATTTTCTTTTTTGGTTGTGTCTCTTACCGGTTTTGGTATCAGGATGATGCTGGCTTCATAAAATGAGTTAGGGAAGAGTTCTTCCTTTTCAAATGTTTGGAATAGTTTCAGAAGGAATGGTACCAGCTCTTCTTTTTATTTCTGGTAGAATTCAGCTGTGAATCCATCTGGTCCTGGGCATGTTGTGCACATGGACGGCATTTTTTTTTTTAGTAGAAAGAAAGAAAGAAGGAAAGAAAGAGAGAGAGAGGGAGGGAGGGAGGGAGGAAGAAAGGAAGGAAGGAAGGAAGGAAGGAAGGAAGGAAGGAAGGAAGGAAGGAAGGAAGGAAGGAAGGAAGGGAGAGAGAAATGCCTGGTGTATGGCTCTCCCTGTCAGCTGCCTCCTCCTATAAGAAGTTGTGGTTTCTACAACATCTGTTCATGTTTGTCCATGCTGGCACATTTCCCTGATTCCCTGAAAACTTTGTCTTGTAGAACAGCAAGGGGCTGCCTTGGGCAAAATCCAGAGCTGGGCTCTTCCAGACAAGCTCTTCTCTTCTTCCTGGGGACAGCTGAGCCGCTGCGCCCCAACACTCCCGCAAGCCCTGAATTTTAGAGGAGGGGTTGGAGGCACATGCAGCCTCTTGTCTGGCTCTGATCTTGTCTAGAAGCATCCATGAGGGAGAATGTGGGTAGATTTCCAGGAACACCCTCCCCACATCTTCACCTGAGGCCCCATTTTCCAGGATTTGTTCTGTGCCCCCTGGTACTTTTTTTCCTTGAGGCAGAGACTGGGGATGAGAAATGGTTTGATTTTTAGACAAAGCAAACCCTGGCTCATTTGTATTTCTAGAAAATTCTGCCTGAAAATGGAATAGATCATTATTTAGCTCACGGTGGTCCCTTGTCACTCGGCCCCGGTCTCCTAACCTGATCATCATTGCCCCTGTGCCCTCTGAGGGCCGCTGCCAGCGTCCTGATGTGGCACCAGGAGGGTCAGCCTCCTCCAGCACCAGCGCCGCCTTCGCCACCAGCCTTGCAAGGAGCCTCAGGGCCTTGCTGGAGCCTTTGGGGATCCCCTGGCACCCCGGTTCTCATTAACACCCGCGCATGGCCCTTCTAGCTCTGCCCCACCTGGGACCAAGCCAAAGCCCTCTGTCTAAGGTTTGGGGGCTGGAATTACGTGAGTTTTCCTTTTCACTTACACTTCTGGAGCCTGGCCATGGTGAAGCAAGACTATGGTTCACCAGGACGTCCCCCAAGGCTCCTCCTGTCACTATCCAACAGGATGTCCCCAGGGGCTCCTCCTGTCACAAACCATCAGATGTCCATGCAAGGCTCCTCCTGTCACCATCCATCAGGATGTTCACAGGGGATCCCTCCCATCACCGTCCATCAGGACGTTCACCCAGGGCTCCTCCCCTCACCGTCCATCAGGAAGTCCCCCGGGGCTCCTCCCATCACCGTCCTTCAGGAAGTTCACCCAGGGCTCCTCCCATCACCATCCATCAGGACATCCCCCGGGGTTGTTCATGTCCTGGCCTGCTCTGCACACCCTGCGGCAGGCAACAAGTGTAGGGACTTCCCGGACGGTGGCTCGGGTCAGCTAGTGTTGCTATTCTTCTTGTGACCCAGCGTCAAAAGTCACATCGCGTTGCTTCTGCTATGTGCTATGGGAGGAAAGGTCCCAGGCCTACCTGGGCTCAAGGAGGGAACCATCTTTCATGGAAAGGGGCAAGGTCTCATTGTTGAAGAAGCTGGGATGGAAGAAATGGTTGCTGTCGATGTTGAACGATGAAGTCGCTCAAAGCTACTATGCCAAATATGTTGCTTCTGTGGGCTTAGTTGAGTGACCCCCAAATTCACATCAAAGTGCTAATGTTCAATATTGCAAAACGTCACTCTGTATGGAAACAAAGCCTTTAAAGAGATAATCAAATTAAATGAGACTATTATAGTGGCTCTAATCCATTCTGCCTGGTGTCCCCAGAAGCAGAAGTATTAGAACACAGACATGCACGGAGAGATGACCCTGTGAGGACACAGAGGGGAAGAGGCCCAGCTGCAGGCCACAGAGAGAAGCCTCAGGAGGAACCACCCTGACCACACCGTCATCTCCCACTTCCAGCCTCCAGGACTGTGAAAGAATAAGTGTCTGTTTTCTAAGTCGCTGGTCTGTGCTATTTTGTGCTGGAAGCCCCAGCAAACAAACAGTACTGCTTCTCCTCTTACTTCAGAAAGTTGTAAATAAAATATTGTTATCTCAGAACTGTAATCTAGGCATGTAGGACATTCCATGAGAAAACAAACAAACAAACAAAACCTAATTAGAAGCATGGAAAATGCAAAAATAGAGCTCAGGTCAACAATTAATAAATATTTAGTTGGGTAATAAAATATCGCTGTTGCCTCAAACTGGTAGCAATTTAGTGGAAAACCAGAGTCAACCCCCGGAGCACAGACCTAGGGGGTTCCAATACAGTCTTTTCTGCAAAACACCAGTGTCACTTCCACCTGGTATCGTGTCACCTGTCTCTGTCTTTCTACGCCCTTTCCTCCCTCTGTGTGCTTCTCCAGGTGCTCACATCTCCCTCTTTCGTGAGGGGTTAAGTGATGTTGAGAGCTGCCCAACGCAGAGGCAGAAAAATGTATGTTTGAAAACTTACTCTAAGGATTCCTCCAACCACCAGCCTCAGACCTACTTCACAACTACCGATTATATTTCCAGGTCAATTGGCTAACTGAAGTGTATCTCTGTCTGCCAGCTTAAATATTATTATTTATTCTTGAAACAACAACAACAAAAAAAGGAAACCATATGTCTAAATGCTTCAGAAATGGTCCCTTTTTCAATCAGCGCATCTTGAACAACATATGTGTGTATCATCTTTATTAAGTGAGAACTAGGGAGCCACATTTTTTATGGTGCCTTCACAGATTGGTGTTTTCCAAATAGGAACAATTTACATCATCACGATACATCTCTTTTGGTGTAGGAAATATTTCTGCTCAGAAAATACAGGGTTAGCACTTGGCTTGCTTTAGTCCGGATATCCCATAAATGTGTTCTGAAGAAACATGTAGATGGGAGAAAATGAATAACTATTATTCAAATGTCTGGAATAAAACAAATTCACAAACACACGTATATACAAACAGTAATCTGACTTGAGAAAGTTCTTAGGGGTGCACTTGTATCAAGATCTCTAATGAGGGTGTGGCTTTATGAAATCAAATACATGGAAGTACAGCATAAAATTATAAATCAAAATTCATTTTTTGTGCTTACCCAGGGAAGACTATAAACCAGTTTACATTAGTATTAATTTCTTCAATTTTTAAATTTCTTAAGTAGTATATATTCCTTTAAAAATAGTATCTTGGATTGCATAACCATATTTGACTTTGCAGTCACACTTCTGCCTCCTGGCTGCCAAAAAATCCTTCAAGCAGGGAACCCCTTATTTTTAAACATGTAAAATGACCACTCCCCTCATCACAAAAGAAGTGTGACATAGGCAAGCCTTGAAATTCACATTCATAAAGAAACTACAAGAGCGCATATGATCACACGGAATTGTGACATAGACAGGCCTTGAAATCTACTTCCATAAGAAAACTACATGATCGCATATGATTACACAGAAGTGTGAATGCGTGGAAATGAACAGATGGAGAAACCATCTCCCGGTCGGCAGGCTTCCTTCTAGAGGGGCAGAGTGGGTGTGGGGGGACCACATTACCTTCCTGTGTTGGGATTTCTTTTATTGTTCTCTGGTGGGAAACCATAGTGTGTTACCTTTATAATTAAAATCAGTAAGTGCACCTGCTATGCAAAGCCTGCAGTGGGGCTCACCCACATGTCTTTGGGACCCTGTCTCACTTGTGGAAGGCATGGTGTGAGGCTTCAGGAGATAGAGAAATGCTATGTAATATGCTCGGGCCTTACATGGCCACCATGGACTTATTTTGACCATAGCCTCCAGGACGTATCCATGTCCTCCTGCTTGGAGGGGCAACGTAGTTTTTTAATTTTATTTTATTTTATTTTTTGAGACAAAGTCTTGTTTTGTCACCAGAATAGAATGCAGTGGCCAGATCTCAGCTCACGGCAACCTCCGCCTCCTGAGTTCAAGCAATTCTCCTGTCTCAGCCTCCTGAGTAGCTGGGACTACAGGCATGCACCACCATGCCTGGCTAATTTTTGTATTTTCAGTAGAAACAGGGTTTCACCATGTTGACCAGGCTGGTCTTGAACTGCTGACCTCAAGTGATCCATGCACCTCGGCCTCCCAAAGTGCTGGGATTACAGGTGTGAGCCACCCTACCCAGCTGAGACTTAGTTTTTCAGATGTTTCTAACATCGTGTGTGTGTGTGTGTATGTGTGTGTGAGTTAAACTATTCAGTACTATGAAAGCCAAAGACATGAAAAAGCCTCATTATTCAGAAATGGTAGAGAAAAGACTTGGTGTGAAATAGAGCACTGCAGGCAATGGGGCCACTCCTTACAGTGGCTTGGCAGCTGCTGAGCAATGGCCCTGCAGCACGAGGTCCTTCTGGGGCCAGCACAGCAGCCTGACATGCTGCAGAGCCACCACGCCTGGTCCCCTTCTCTTTAACCATGTTTCCGATGTGTGAAGAGTGGAGGTCCTGTTGATTTAACCTGTGTAAAACAGCATATATTTTTTTAAATAGTGCACATGATATTTGGCAGAATACGTGTTCATAATGGGTTTGACAGTCCAGAACCGTGAGCTGAGTCAATAGTATATTTAATATTTTCTAGAAAGAATTATTAATAACATTATTAGTCAGAGTTCCCTAGAGAAACAGAGCCAATAGGATATAAATAGATATGTAACAGGAGATGTCTTATGTGAGTTGACAGAAGCAGTTTTGGAAATGGAAAAGTCCCCCAGTCTGCCTTCTGCAAGCCGGAGGCCCAGGAAAGCCAAACTGTCATCCAGCCTCTGTCCAGATGCCTGAGAGCCAGGAGAGCTCACGGCATGACTCCCAGTCCTATTCCCGAGGCCTGAGGACTGGGAGCTTAGGTGTCCCAGGGCAGGAGAAGGTGCGTCAGCTTCAGAGGAGAGAGAGAATTCCCCTTTTCCACATGTTTGTTTGACTCAGGCCCTCAGTGGATTGGATGCTGCCCACCTGCTGGGTGGATCTGCTCTCCCAGCCTACGGGTTCAGATGCTCATCTCATCTGGAGACAGCTGCTGTCTACCCAGCCTAAGGGTTCAAATGCTCATCTCATCTGGAGACAGCTGATTTATACCCAGACTATGGGTTCCAGTGCTCATCTTGTCTGCAGGCACCTGCCCTCTACCCAGCCTATGGGTTCAAATACTCATCTCATCTGGAGACAGCTGCTCTCTACCCAGCCTATGAGTTCAAACACTCATCTCATCTGGTGGCACCTGCTCTCTACCCAGCCCTATGGGTTCAAACACTCATCTCATCTGGAGGCACCCGCTCTCTACCCAGCCTACGAGTTCAAACGCTCATCTCATCTGGAGACAAATGCTCTCTACCTAGCCTATGGGTTCAAATTCTCATCTCATTCATCTGGAGACACCTGCACAGACACACCCAGAACAATGAGTCACCAGCTATCTTGGTGTCTCTTAGCCCAGTCAATTTGACACATACAATCAACCATCATAACGAGATATTTTTAAACATTAAAATGTGATGGTGTAAAGGCATGTCCAGAGAAGGTCCATTAGGAAGGGCAGGAGACCCCAGGGCATCCCATACATGCACACATCACACTGAGAACTGAAAAAAAAATGTGTGTGGATTATTTTGCCCAGATAAGAGAAGGTGTGGATGCCAGAACAGCTACTGTACATGGACTACATCGTGAGTTATCAATAGATTTTATTTCCGTGGTTTCACAAGAGCAGGGTACTCTATAGTCAGCACATACAAGCCCACAGCAATAAAAGCTGTTGAATACACACAGCATACTCTAAATGTGAGGTGTGGCCCTTTGAATACACACAGCATACTCTAAATGTGAGGTGTGGCCCTTTGAATACACACAGCATACTCCAAATGTGAGGTGTGGCCCTTGGAATACACACAATATACTCTAAATGTGAGGTGTGGCCCTTTGAATACACACAGCATACTCCAAATGTGAGGTGTGGCCCTTTGAAAACTTTGCAGAGATGGAAGGTCCTTGTAGATGGGATTTAAGGATTGACTTAGTCATCAGGACACATGGAGTTGGTCATTACTCTTTCAATCCGTTTTAACCCTGAAAGATGCCCGTTTGAAGCATCTTAAACGTAACTGCATACAAAGGGATCTTCATTGCTCCACCAGTGGTCTCAAGGCTGTGGCCACCATCGCGCTGGACGACCTGCTTCTAAGATTAGGTCAATGTTGAGTACTCTATTTGGAGCACACGATAATTTTAAACACATGTGAAAATGTACTTTGACCATTAGTGGGAGTTCATTTACACATATTTGGATGATTAGAGAAATCATTATTCACCAAGTTCCAACTTCTGAGAGTTCCCTGTTCCAAGCCTAAATCATGAAGTGAAACCAAATTGCAATATTATTTTCTTTAACTTTTAGTTACTTGTAAATGGAATTTTAAAAACCCTAAACATCTGTTCGAGTTATATATGTGAATTATACTTATCTCACATGGCAGTAAAGTAAAAATCATCAGTCAAGTCTCAGGGTACTTCTCTCCATTCCAAAAGCAGGAGAAATTTTAATTGATTTCCATTGTGCCTCTGACGTGAAACAAAGAATTAAAATTCCGAGGCTTTAGAATAAAACTACAAACAGTGTCAAAACATAACAAAACATTGTCAAAGCAAACCTATGGAGACGTATTAAGATGTCAAAATTAGAATGATGTCATTGTAAATTACAGTAGCACTTTTAAAAATGAAGTTTGAAGACCTCTATTTATGTGAGTGTACGTTGCCACTCATCTCAAACTAATCGCTCACCCCAGATGTGTAGGAGGTGTGATAAATGTTCCAAAGCACAGAAAATACACATTCCAAAAATAGTTTGGGCATTTTAAAAGTGAGCTAGAAGATTTCTGTGAGTTTTGATTGTTACTTGGAATCAACATTACTCTTTTTCTTACTTGAAATCAACTTTATTCTTCCAAGTGGCATCCTGTTTTTTCTTAGCCTACATATGTGCTCTGTACATTATGCTACTAAGCATTGTAAATATATAGATTTTTGTATTCTCACACCCTGTACACAGCGTGGAATGAAGAGTGAGATCAGAGCGAATTGCTTATTAAGGAAATAAACTAGTCAATGGAGTCATTGTCTGCATCGTTCTTCCTTTTTCGAAGGAAAGGGTCTCTTTTGCAGCTTAGAGGCTTCCTCAGCCTATAGAAGGTTGAGGCGAGGCTCCTCCTTTCATTTTAAACTGGCTTTTTCTTAGACCAGGTGCATCCCTCTGTTTAAGATAGCAATTTTCTCTCCACTAAAAATTCCTACAAGACCCTTTGTCCAGGAGAGAGGGCACACAGTCCCAGCTTTCACCTTTCTTTTTTTTTTGAGATGGAGTCTTGCTCTGTCACCCAGGCTGGAGTGCAGTGGCATGATCTCAGCTCACTGCAACCTCTGCCTCCTGGGTTCAAGTGAGTCTCCCTCCTAAGCCTCCCAAGTAGCTGGGATTACAGACACGTGCCATCATGCCTAGCTAATTTTTGTATTTTTAGTAGAGATGGGGTTTCACCACGTTGGCCAGGCTGGTCTCAAACTCCTGATCTCAGGTGATCTGCCCTCCTCGGCCTCCCAAAGTGCTGGGATTACAGGCATGGAACACAGAGCCCCACCCAGCTTTCACCTTGTTAAGGTTGCCACAAAGGCCTTAGAGCTGTTCTGGGATCTCTGTCTAAATACCAAAGCCATATGCCCTGGGGGAGTTCTGGATTTGATCTTTGCCTTCATGTTATTTCTAACATTGAGAGCCTCATACAAGCTAAGAAGAATGGAAATGAGAAAAAAAAAAATAGTTTTTATGCCCAGAAGTCTTGCATTGAAACTGTTTTTCTCTAATTCTGCCTGGAAAGTGAACTGTAGCATCTTTGAGACATTTTCTCCTCCTGTGCTTCCTCCTAAGAAGCTAAGAGGAACCAGCTGTCACTTTCAACATTTGGCCTGGATGTCTCCTTGGCACAATCCAGGGGCGCTTAAGTCAGCTCTGCCTTCCCCACGGCCACATGTGAGCGTGCTGGCAGCAGGGGTTGGCTCTCTCCACCTTCCCAGGACCCCTTCTGGCTGCTCTTCCTGAATCTTCTAGCACTCTTGCTTCTACCCCTTCAGAACTCTGCCTGGCCCCAAACCCAGGCTCATGGGACAGGTAAGGTGTTTGTTGCTGCAGCTACTCTGTCTGACACCCACTGATGGGGGGTGCAGAACAGTCATGAGTGTTGGAAAGTGCAGGATTATTACAGCAATTAGACCTCAGATGATGGTGGGAGGGCTTGGGGAAACAAGGTTTGGCTATAGACATCATAGGTCAAAGGAGACTCACCCGTCAGTCTTCCTGAGTCACGGACAGGCATGCAGGGTTCATTTGGAGCTTGTGAAAATCTGGGAAGCCAGGCCACGGCTACGTGGGGTGCAGGCAGTGGAGAGAATGGAGCCTATGGCTGGTTGTTGGTAAACTGGTCTTGAGTTCAGAAAAGAGCTGAGGGCTGAGCAGAGTGGACCCTAGACCGACCAGAGCTCTGTGTTCATCTCTTACAGACTCCCATCACGGTAGCTGCCGGAGATGCCTTCACCTCTGCTGCGGCCAGTCCTAAACCAGAATCCCACAGGGAAAGGGTTCCAGGAGACCCGATTGCCTGTTCTGGTTAATACACCCCAAAATCACCGCAACAACTTAACAATGTACATTGAAGTGTTAAAAATGGTGCTGGGAAAACTGGCTAGCCATATGCAGAAAGCTGAAACTGGATCCCTTCCTTACACCTTATACAAAAATTAATTCAAGATGGATTAAAGACTTACATGTTAGACCTAAAACCATAAAAACCCTAGAAGAAAACCTAGGCAATACCATTCAGGACATAGGCATGGGCAAGGACTTCATGTCTAAAACACCAAAAGCAATGGCATCAAAAGCCAAAATTGACAAATGGGATCTAATTAAACTAAAGAGCTTCTGCACAGCAAAAGAAACTACCATCAGAGTGAAGAGGCAATCTACAGAATGGGAAAAAAATTTTGCAATCTACTCATCTGACAAAGGGCTAATATCCAGAATCTACAAAGAATTCAAACAAATTTACAAGAAAACAAACGAACAACCCCATCAAAAAGTGGGCAAAGGATATGAACAGATGCTTCTCAAAAGAAGACATTTGTGCAGCCAACAGACACATGAAAAAATGCTCATCATCACTGGCCATCAGAGAAATGCAAATCAAAACCACAATGAGATACCATCTCACACCAGTTAGAATGGTGATCATTAAAAAGTCAGGAAACAACAGGTGCTGGAGAGGATGTGGAGAAATAGGAACACTTTTACACTGTTGGTGGGACTGTAAACTAGTTCAACCATTGTGGAAGTTAGTGTGGTGATTCCTCAGGGATGTAGAACTGGAAATACCATTTGACCTAGCCATCCCATTACTGGGTATATACCCAAAGGATTATAAATCATGCTTCTATAAAGACACATGCACACATATGTTTATTGCAGCACTATTCACAAAAGCAAAGACTTGGAATCAACCCAAATGTCCAACAATGATAGACTGGTTTAAGAAAATGTGGCACATATACACCATAGAATACTATGCAGCCATAAAAAATGATGAGTTCATGTCCTTTGTAGGGACATGGATGAAGCTGGAAACCATCATTCTCAGCAAACTATCACAAGGACAAAAAACCAAACACTGCATGTTCTCACTCATAGGTGGGAATTGAACAATGAGAACACTTGGACACAGGAAGGGGAACATCACACACCCACACACCGGGGCCTGTTGTGGGGTGGCGGGGTGGGGGAGGGATAGCCTTAGGAGATATACCTAATGTAAATGATGAGTTAATGGGTGCAGCACACCAACATGACACATGCATACATATGTAACAAACCTGCACGTTGTGCACATGTACCCTAGAACTTAAATAAAAAAAAATATATATATATATATATAAACTACACCTGCTCAATGGACTCCCTGGAGTCTAAATTAGATATTTATCCTACAGAAATAACCAGGAAGGTGCAGAGACATATTCAGGGCTGACAAAGTCATCATTATTCACAATAGACCAAAAAGAGAGGCAGTATCATTGTCCAAGAATTGCAAATTTTCTAGTTAAAATTTAATACTTTCAAATTATATGATGAAAGAATGTAGCTCTATTTTTATAAAATGCAATTTTTGTTATACCTTTAAATGAGTATGGGGTAATATTCATCAAATGTCTGTGCATTAAAATGATAAATTTATTTTATTTTTTCTACTGTATTTCTATTATACCTGTTACTTTCATATTACAAAATATTGAGAAAATAATAAAAAGAATAGCAATGAATTAAAGATTAAACCATTCAGTAATGTACTTAAAATTTTATTGTAATTCTCAATATTATCTGATATAATAAACTTAACAACAATTGTTTAACAAAACTTGATATCTCATCCCTTTTGGTATTTACTCAAAAACCTATTGAAAGGCATATTCTATTTTTACTCCTGACCACAGTGTCTTGATTCTATGACGTATACTCCCAAGTCAGAGTATGAGCCATTGTGTATCTTTTGAGCTGATGGATGTCAGATAACATATATTAACTTTATTTGGAACAATTTACCAAAGACAAATACATCATCATATGTCTGGGTATCACTGTGAATAAAGCACAAATGGCCCACATTTTTAGCTGAATAAATTAGATGAGAGATCTCTTTTAAGTGAATTTGCACTTGAATAATTTTGTAAAAGTCCAAACACAGTATCATTCAGTAGGGAATTTTGCTGATAAGGTAATGAATTAGTTTACTTACTGAATGTTTCAAAGAGTCAAATAGAGAAACTTAGACATTTACTGCTTTGCAGAAAGATATGAACATTTAAATACAGACTTATAATTACTAGTTGATCAACCTGATCAGAGGCCAACACTGAAGCCTGATATTGTAATAAGATGCAAAATAAAAAGAAATGAGAATTGAGCATCTGCAGCTATAATTCCATTTTAGTCCATTTGCTTAATGCATTTTGTTATTATTGAAACAACAGATTGTAGCTAGATTTAGCCTCAGTATCATTATGTAATGTAGCATAGCATGCTGTGAGAGTGATAGAAACTACACTTTCATAAGCTAGATCTTTTAACACATAACTCATGCTAGAAAGGCATGAAAAACAAGAAAAAAATCAAAGTCAGATACTTATCAAATTGGGATTTTAGTCCTGAAAAACAGCTGTTATCAAAACGTATTGCTTTCCTATCAGTTCAATATAGTCTAATTATGATTATAAATGTGTGTTTTGTTCATTGTTCAAAAAAGCAGCTAGACTTACTGAAGCTTTGTACTTTAGCTTCTGTTTTTAAAATAGCCTCAATTTTTTACAGCAGTGTTAGGTTCACAGAATAATTGAAAGTACAGGGAGCTCTGACATACACCCTTCCCAGCTATACACACACACACCCCCTCACCATCAACATCTCCCTCCAGAAAGGTAGAGTTGTGACAATCCTTGAAACAATAATGATGCAGCATCATCACCTAAAGTCCATAGTTTACATCAGGGTTTAATCCTGGTGTTGTATATTCTATGTGTTTGAACAAATGTATAACGACATGTATTTGTCATTGCAGTATCATAAAAAGTTGTTTCACTGCCCTGAAAAATCCTATATTCCACCTATGCATTCCTCCCTCCCTCAGCCTCAGGCAACCACTGACCTTTCTCTTGTCTCTATAGTTTTGCCTTTTCCAGAATGTCTTAGAGTTGGAATCACACAATTTGCAGCCCTCCAGACTGGCTTCTTTCACTTAGCAATGTGCATTTAAGTTTCCTCCATCTCTTCTCAGGGCTTCATAACTCCTTTCTTTTTGGTGAGACTGGCTTCTTTCACTTAGCAATGTGCATTTAAGATTCCTTCATCTCTTCTCAGGGCTTCATAACTCCTTTCTTTTTAGCCCAGATTCCATAGCTCATTGTATGGACACAGCACAGCTTGTTCAGCCATTTACCAAGTGAAGCATCTCCTACTTGATAACAGCCTTTGGCAATGACAAATAAAGCTGTTATAAGCATCTTTTGTACAGGTTTTTCTGTAAATTATAAGTTGTCAACTCATTTGGACAAATAGTGAAGAGTGTATGGAATGCATGGCTAGAGTATGTTTAGTTTTGCAGGAAACTGCTGAACTGTCTTCCTCAGTGGCTATACTATTTTTCATTTCTAGCAACAATGAATGACAGTTCTTGTTATACCACATCCTTGTCAGCATTTGGTTTTGTCAGTATTTTGGGCTTTCCTCATTCTAATATACACATAATGATGTCTCGTTTGAATTTGCAATTCCCTCATGACTTAGATGTGGAGCGTCTTTACATATGCTGGTCATTTGTATATCACATGTGCTGCAGGGTCTGTTGAGATGTTTTGCCCATTTTAAAATTGGGTGTTCATTTTCTTATTGTTGAGATTTAAGGTTCTGTTTATAGTTTGGATAAGTCTTTTTATCAGATATGTGATTTGCAAACACCTTCTCTCAATTTGTGGCTTCTCTTCGCATTCTCTAGACTGTGCCTTTCTCAAATCAGAAGTTTTTAATTTCAACTAAATCCAGTTTATGCGACTTTTTTTCCTTCCTGAATGTTCCTTTAATGTTGTTCTATTAGAAAAGTCATCACGTGGCCGGGCACGGTGGCTCATGCCTGTAATCCCAACACTTTGAGAGGCTGAGGTGGGTGGATCACAAGGTCAGGAGTTCAAGACCAGCCTGGCCAAGATGGTAAAACCCCATCTGTACTAAAAATACAAAAAATTAGCTGGGCGTGGTGGTGGCCACATATAATCCCAGGTGCTTGGGAGGCTGAGACAAAGAATTGCTTGAACCCAGGAGGTGGAGGTTGCAGTGAGCCTAGATCATGCCACTGCACTCCAGTCTGTGCAACAGAGCGAGACTCCGTCTCAAAAAAAAAAAAAAAGTCACCAAACCCAAAGTCATTTGGATTTTCTCTTATGTTATCTTCTAGGAGTTTTACATTTTTGTGTTTTACATTTAGACTTACAGTCTGTTTTGACTTAATTTATGTGGTGATATTAAATCTATGTCTAGATTCATATTTTTGAATGTTGATGCTCACTTTTCCTGGCACCATTTGTTGAAAAGACTACCCTTGCTCTCTTGAATTTTCTTGCTATCTCTTCAACATTCGTTGACTACATTTGTGTGAATTGATTTGTGGGCTCTCTATTCTGTTCTATGGTTTTATCCATCTCTTCTTTTGCCAGTATAGCACCATCTTGATTGCTGAAGCTTTACAGTTTGCCTTGAAGTTTAATGGTATCAGTTCTCTGACTTTGTTCCTCTTTTTCAATATTGTGTTGCCAATTCTGGATCTTTGCTCCTCCATGTAAACTTTAGAATTAGCTTGTTGACGTCCACTTTCTGAGATTTTGATTGGGATTGCGTTGAATCTATAGACCAAGATAGGAGGAACTAACATCTTAACAATATTGAGTCTTCCTATCCATGCACCTAAAACACCACTTCCATTCATTTAGTACTTTTTGATTTTTGTCACAGTTTTATAATTTTCCTTATATAGATCTTAGACATATTTTGTTGGATTTATACCTAAGTATTTCATTTTGGGAGGTGTTAATATAAATAGCATTGTGTTTTTAATTTTACATTCTGCTTGTTCATTGCACATATATAGGAAAATGATTGGCTTTTGTATATTAACCTGTATCTTGCAGCTTTGTTTGTTCCATGATGTTTTTTTCTTAATTCTTTGTGATTTTCTACGTGGACAATTATGTCATTTGTGAAAAAAGGCAGTTTCATTTTTTCCTTCTCAATCTGGGATACCTTTCATTTCTTTTTGCTTTTTTTGTTTGTTTGTGTGTTTTTCTGTTTTTTTTCTTTTGCTTTGCCGCATTAGGACTTCCTAAATAATGTAGAAAAAATGATGAGAGAGAGCATCTTTGCCTTGTTTCTGAACTTCACAGAAAAAATGTCTAGTTTCTCACCATTATGTGTGAGTTAGTTACAGGTTTTTTGCAGATATTCTTTATCACATTTAGGAAGTTTTTCTCTGCTTTTCATTAACTGCACTTTTTTTTCATGAATGGATATTGGGTTTTATCAAATGGGTTTTTTGACCTATTGATATGACCACCTAATTTTTCTTTTTTAACCTGTTGATGTGATGGATTAGATTAGTTTTTGAATATTGAGGATGAATTGCATACCTACAATAAACTCCATTTAGTTGTTGTGTGTAATTGTCTTTATACTAATATAAAATTTAGTGTTTTATGCTCGTTTGTTAATATCCTGTTAAGAATTTTTACATCTATGCTCATAAGAGATATTTGTCAGTAGTTTTCTTTTTTTGTAACGTCTTTGTCCACTTTTTGTATTAGACTAATGCTGTCCTCACAGAATGAGTTAAAATGTACTTCCTCTGCTTCTAGCCTCTAAAGAACATTGTACAGAATTGGAATAATTTGTTCTTTACATGTTTAGTAGAATTCACCATGAACCCGTCTGGGCCTGAAGCTTTCCTTTTGGGTAGGATGCTTATTATTGTGTCAATCTCTTTAATAGATACTATTTAGATTGTGTTTAATATATTTAGATTGTCCATTTTTTTCTTGTGTGAGTTTTAGAAGATTATGTCTTTCAATCAGTTGGTCCAAATTTTATCGAAGTTATCAAATTTGTGTGCATAGAGTTTTTAAAAAAATATTCCTTTATGATATATTTAATAATAATGGGAATAGCATATTGGTACATATTTAATTTATGATATTAGTAATTTGTATCTTCTCTCCTTTTTTAAAGATAACCTAGCTAGAGGTTAATCAATTTTGTTTATCATTTCGGAGACAAATTTTGGTTTTGTTGATTTGCTTAATGCTTTCAATATCATTGATTTTTAATTTCATTTTTATTATTTTCTTCTTTTTGTGTATTTAAATTGCTCTACTTTTTATGTTTTTTTAAATGGAAGTTTAGACTAATTTTAGATATTTTTTCCAATACATGCATTTAATACTATACATTTCTCTCTAAGCATTACTTTTGCTGCATCTTACAAATTTTGATAGGTTTTATCTTCATTTTCATTTAGTCCAAATATTTTTAGTTTCTTTTGAGACTTCCTGTTTAATCTGTGTGTTATTTACCACTTCTTTGGTTTTTGTTTTTGGGGTTTTTCTTTAATTCTTTCCTTTCTCTTTTTTTAAGGAAGACTCTCACTCTGTTGCCTGGGCTGGAGTGCAGTGGTGTGATCTCAGCTCACTGCAACCTCCACCTCCTGGGTTCAAACAATTCTCCTGCCTCAGCCTCCCAAGTAGCTGAGATTACAAGCATGCACCACCACATCAGGCTAATTTTTGTATTTTTAGTAGAGATGGGGTTTCACCATGTTGGCCAGGCTGATATTGAACTCCTGACCTCAAGTGATCTGCCCGCCTTGGCCTCCCAAATTGTTGGGATTATGAGCCTGAGCCACTGTGCTGGCCTAGAACTTTGTTTTTTAATCTCCAAGTGTTAGGGGATTTTCCAGCTTTCTATGATAGATTTCTCATTTAATAGTTTGGTTTTTGAGAGAATACATTTTATAATTTTTATTGATTTGAAATTTTAAGGAGTGTTGTATAACCTAAAAGGTGATTAATCTTGGTAAATGATCCATGTGAACCTGAGAACAATGTGTATTCTGTTCTTATTGGGTGAAATATTCTGTAAATGTCAAGTAGATCAAGTTGATTGATCATGCTGTTCAGCTTAAGTATGTCATTACTAATTTTTGGCCCCCTGAATTGATGTATCTATTACTGATAGATAGATGTTGAATTCTTCAACTAAAATTGTGGGTCCATCTATTTCTCCTTGAGGTTCTATCTGATTTTTTTCTCACATATTTCACCCATTTTTTCAGTCGTTTTTTCTCTGCTTTTCAGTTTTGGAAGTTTGTATTGACATTTCTTCAAGTCACTGATTCTATTCTCAGTCATGTCTAATCTACTACTGAGCCCATAAAAGATAGTCTTCATTTCTATTGCCATGTTTTTCTTTCTGACATTGCATCTTTTACTTTTTCTTATAATTTCCATCTGTGTGCCTACATTGACCATCTGTTCTCACATTGCGTCTACTTTTTCCATTAGAAATTTCAGCATTTTAATCATTTTAAATTCCCAGTCTGATAATTCCACCATTCCTGCCACATCTGAGATTGGTTCTGATACTCTTTCTTCTAACTATGCTTTTTGCCTTTTAGTATGCCTTGTAATTTTTTGTTGAAAGCTGGATATGGTGGACTGGATAAAAGAAAGTGCTGCAGGTGCTTAGTGACATGGTAGTGAAGTGTGAGTGTTGAGACAGAAGAGCTCAATGGACCCATGATTAGGTTTTAGTCTTTCAGTGAGCTGGTGCCCCTGAGATGGGATCTTTACAGAGGCTTCCTCTCCCCCTCACCCTAAGGTGTGATAGGAAGGGTTGGGGGAATGGAGTAAGGAGTGGCCCTCTGCCCAGGTGATAAGGCTTTCATAGAATCCCAATAGGCCAGGCTAAAATAGTTTATCCTGGGGGCGACCATGTTAAGAAGCTGCTCTGGCTTATTCCAAAATGGCTACTTTCCCCTCTCCCTGCTAGAAACATGAGGGAATTTTTTTTTCCAATCTTCAACCTGAACATGGTAGAACTCCTGGAAGAAAAATTCATGAAAGTGCAGGCTCCCTTCTTTTTTTGGAGTTTGATTTCTTTTTCTTTCCTTTTAGATCTGTCCCCACTGAGCTTCCAGCAATTTATCAGTTACAGTTTAAACTTTCCTCCCTAAGCCCCATGGAGATTTCTGCTCTTGGACTTCTGCTCCAATAACTTTGGATTCCCTGTATCTACCTGTCTCTTTCTCCAATTGTGGGGGCAGCCATTTGCACTGTGACCTCAGTTCTCTGACAGATCTAAGACGAGTTATTAATTTTCAGCTTGTCCAGCTCTTTTCTTGCTGTGAGGATGGGAGGGATGACTTCCCATTTCCTCACATGCTGGAAGGGAACCCAGAAGTCTCCTGGTTTTCTTTTCCACACATGAAAATCAGATGTCTAAAATGCTGGAAAGTATGACAAACATATTGTTTGGGTAGCATAGATGGTAGACAAGGAGCTCTGAAAAATGAATGAAACTCAGGAGATGTCATTTTATATGTAACTTTCTGCAGGATATTTGCTTAGTCATTCAAAATATTTGCATCTCAGTTTCCCTTTCTTTCAAATAAATACTTAATAGATTTGTTTGAGATATTATTTGGGATAGAGTAAAAAATAATAATGCTTGTGATAATTGCAATAACAGAAAGGAAATTATGAATAAAAAATTAAATGGGAATAATTAGGTTTTCCCAAATAAACTACTACTTGTAATAATGAGTGGCCTCTCCTCTGAAAGCAAGGTCAAGATGGCTTTTGCTACAGGTAGAATAATGCTTGACTAATAGGGACATAAGTGACAAGATTACTCATAATTTACTTAAGAAGTTTGGATGTGGGCACACAAACACTTTTCTCTTGCAAGTTTAATACGTTTGAGTTTACTATTCACTCACACAAAATCTCCTGTAGGTCCAGTGGTTCTCCTCAGTAATGCCTTTCTAAACTGTAACTCAGAATTCAGACTATGCCCATTTTTGTCTCAGAGATCTAAATAGATAACACTAGGGTATGCTGTAACTATGGAAGAAGAGCCAGACTGTGCACTGGATGCCTTTATCTTAGGAATGGCACTCATCTTTTCTGCTCTAAGAGCAGTTCAAACATGTGGTCTTGCTTAACTGCACAGACTGAAAAATTTGGTGATATTAATATTTCTACATGACTATTCTAAGATTAATAAATAATAAGGGAAGAGGGGAGACTACAATGATTTGACAAATGCAGTATAATTTTTCATTGGGGCTAGAGTTATTACAAAACAGGGGAGTAGCAATAAAGGTGTGGGACTGTCTGTACAGATTTGCCTTTAGTACGAGCAATAATGATGATGATGATGCTGCTGGTGGTGGTGATTGTGAAGATAAGGATAATGAGGTTGTATCATCATAATTATGGTGGTGATGATGATGGTATTGATGATGATGGTGACATGATATTGATGGGGATAGTGATGATGAGGGTGATGACGATGGTGTTGGTGATGATGATGGTGATGAGGATGATAGTGAATGATGGTTATGTGATGATGAGAATGATGATGGTGATGATATTATGGTGATGTGATTATGATGATAGTCATGGTGATGATGATGTTGATGGTGATGAGGATGATGAGGGTGATGGTGACAGTGATGATGGTGATGATGATGGCAATGATGTTGATGGTGACAGTGATGATGGTGGTGATGATGGTGATAGTGATGAAGATGATTATGATAATGGTAATGATGATGGTGGTGATGATGATAATCACTATGGTTAGCATGAATGTATATGTGTGTTGTTATTTTAATTCAAATTTGACCCAGAATGTGAAACTGAAGACAAAAGTAGAGTCTATAAGGAAGACTCCATAAATTATCCAACAGGATCTCTACAAGAATAATTATTGACAATTTCCATTTTGCTTCATTTTTTGGTTTGATATCTAGGAAGATGCCCACTGTGGGAGATTTGCTAGGGAAAATTTAAAAAAAACCCTTAAGATAAAATTATCTCCTGTACAATTACCTTAATTATCATTTTCAAGAAGGTTTTCCGTACTTTAGAAACAACTGAAGTTGTTTCTGCATGGTTTCTGTTTCTGAATGTTATTCAGAAAACAATTCCAAGTAATATCAAATGTTAGATAAAAGTCAGAACAGTATCATGAATCTTGATATTTCTTAAGAAAAAGCATTCAGGTCTTAAATTGGGGAGGTGTGGAGGAGAGAGAAAAAAGTAAAGCTATGAGCTTAGTCATAGTGTGGAAAGATGTGTGGCCTCCGGTGTGTGGTTTTCTTTGGGCTGTGGCTTGCTTTTACGAGGCCAAGGCATCTTGATCATTAACATGCTGCTTGTGCTTCATGGTTGACTTTTACATTATTGCTCCAGCTATTACCTTGCATGCATTATTTATATGGTTGGCTATCATGGAAAAAAGGCAAGCAATTTACTTGTCAAAACACATTAGAATGCATGACTTTAAATCAGAGTTGCATGGGTTGGTAAAAAGCTATAATAAATGCACTTTGGCTAATATGTTAGTGTCATGCAGTTTGAGATGGTCACTGTATTGACTGAGGAACCTATAATCATCTCTGGGGCTCTTTCAGTAAAATAGCACTCCAAATTATTTGCACTATGATTTTAATCGCATAATGGTAAACTGTATTATTACAACTTTTCATTATTTAGATGAGTTTTAATATTAGAATAACAAGTGAGTACAAATTAAATTTGTCTTTATAGAAGGCTTGGAATTAAATGTATCATTTATTTATGTTCTAAATATCATTTTAAATGCTTAAATATTAGAATTGTGTCATATAGCTATGTGTGTCTTTGCTTTTTGTACTCAGTTAAGCATTCCCATTGTTACTTGACTTTTCACGGCCTCACTAAAGTCCCACTTTGTACCATTGGAAATGTTTAAGTAAATGCCAGCCACCTTGTCTGTTCTGTTAAGTGCCAGCCTCAGAGTTCCATGATATTTATTTGATGACTGCCATGTCTAAAACAGCTGAGAGAGCTCAAAGCAGAGTATTGGTTCAAGAAATTTATTTTTCTTAAAAATAATTCAACTACAAACAAGTTATAGGAGAGGACAGTGATTCTGGAAAGGTCAGCATTCTTGGGGGATGTTATCTTGTGAGAGAGGATAGTCAAGTTTATGCTCAGTGTAATCTTCTGTCTGCTCCTAACCCAACACTTTCCAGCATCTTGAAAAGCTAATAGGAGTCCAGAGAATGTGACTCCATAATGCTGTGCAGTTGCAGAAGACACTGGGTGAGCCCAAAATGGTCAATGCGGCATTTTAAATTAGTATCACAGCAGGGATACCCTGAGTCCTCTTTACCTGGGTATTATGAGTAATCTAGAGGTGAATTAAAGTATAGGAGAGGCTGTGCATAGGTTGTATGCAAATGCCACACCATTATATATCAGAGACTTGAGCATTAGAGAATTTTGGTATCCACAGGGAGTCATGGAACCAATTCCTCATGGATACAGAAGGGTAACAGTATATACACAAATGCAGAACCTATATACGTAGATTATATTAAAATATACTAAATATATATCCTTAAATATGAAAATCAATTATATGTGATATGCCTTTATAAGAGTAAGTAGATTTCTTGTAAAGTTCATGTTGATGCATAGATTATATGATGTAGATTTAATATTTGGGGAAAAATACTATGGTTGAAATGATCAAATCTAATATAACAGACTAACTTTAACCTCTTTCATGTTTAATATTTTGCATTAATAAACAGTATCTTTTTGGGCATGCTATAAATGTAATAATAATTATTAATGGCAAGGGGTATAGACAATTGCAAACTCACTAACATGTAATATTCCTGTAGTAACTGTTATTTCATTTACATTGAAAATTGGCTGAATCTTAAGTTATTTATTTATTGTACAGTTATGTTATTCTAAGCAATTATAAAAATTGTTTCCCATGGTGACTATGAATTTCATGTTTAGGAGTTTTGGCTGTATCTTCTATGCAAAGATATCTGAAGGTCAAAATGAAACAGCATAAGCATTTTATTTGTAGATTTCAGAGTATACCACTGAATACATGAAGTAAAGTCAGAGCTTGAAATTAATATATGACATAAGATTTGAATTGGTTTATTTAAGTTTTCCAGTATAATATCAATTATTTTTTTCAAAAATAGCATCACCAGTAAATATTTCCTGCAAAGTTATGGTTAGCACCACACGGTGCATATACTTAGAAGTTCTAAATGGAAATGTTTGTTAGGGAGACACGTGTTACATATTTGTTCTCAGGTAGCATGCAGAACTATCCTCATTATTTTCACCCAAGGAAAAGATAAAATATTCATTGAGTATCAAGGATATGTTAAATACTTTAAAGTTGCATCAGTTTTGTTTTCTTATTTAGTGTTACCCAAATTCCATCACCGTTCTTCGCCGTGCTGCCTGGGTCACTGCTACCAAATTCATGCCACTAACATTTTATAGCACTTTAGAGCAGGCAATGAATTGCTTTGAAACCAAAATGGAGCACCAAAATGCTTCTTCGACTAGAATTCGGGAATGGGCTGAAGCCTCAGAAGCTTCAGGGAGGCAGGAGCACATTAATCGAAAAACATTACCTGATGCAAAATGTGAGTCTTTTCCTCATCACAAATGTGAGATCTTGTAGATCATAAAGATGCGGAAAACCCTTTGCAGTTGACGACAGTTAAAAAGGAATAGGGGAAAAGAAGGGATATTACCTATGGAAGGAGGAAATTAGATTATCTACAAGGAGGTTGGGAAAAGTGTGGTTTTAACTCAGAAGCTGCCCAGGGATATGTTTGAGTAGTACAAGAATTCAGGAGACCCTGGACCCTTAGACTTAGGAGAAATAAACTCTGTAGGGTAGAACAGGGCCAAACCAGGCCATGAGAAGTCAGAGGCACTGCATGTGTGGGTGGAAGGCAGAAGAAGACACAGCCATCAAAGATCAATGACGTCCACTTTGAAAACGTGCCCAGTGAGCGTTTGCTTGGCATTGTGTTAGGTACACAAAATAACTCTAAATAGGCATCAGGTCAGTCATTTTCTTAATGGAAAGATAAATAGAAGCTCCTTGGAATAATTTAGGGATGATGTAAGACAATCCAGTCATTAATAATACGTACACAAGTCATCCAAGTTCATGCCACCTGGGCACTGGCTGATGAGGTAGATGGGCACAGTTATATGGAGACTGAAGAGAGTGAGAAGCTACTCAGGGTCTTGCATCAACTCAAGGAGAGGTGAAGAGATGAAGGCTGGCATGGTGTCCACAGGGGACAGTGGCAGGCCGAACCAAGGCTGGGCACTGTCTGGAAAGCAGGAGGGGGAACAGTTGACTGTCCGGGCAGTGGTTCCCACCTGTCTAGCCTAGGAGGAAAAGCATGCAGTGGATGGCTGTGCGGTGAGGGGCAGGGCTGGGGCTATGGAATTCGACAGGTGTGGGCTCATCTATGAGCTCTGAGAGTCAGGAGCCCGCTTGGCAACAAAGGTAAGACAAACTCTCAGCCTCTCTTCTTCATCTGAAAAGGGAGAGGTTGAGATACAAGGTGTCATGAGGGCTGAATTAAACGAGCAGCTCACACTGTTCAGGATCACCCTTGGTACTCACATACAGGGGTGTGGTTTAGGGACCCTTGCGCCGAAATTCTAGCATGGGACAGGAGGGTACCACCTCTTCTAGTTCCATGGCTCAGGTTCTGTGGGTTCTTTCTTCATTTTTCATTTCTCTACCCATATCCAGTGTGGTAGACATTGTTTTATGAAATTCAACAAAAAGAGGCATTTATTCTTTATGTTATCCCTCCAAAGAAAAGATATTTAAATACCATTGTTTTGGTATTTGCTTATTATGTACAGTAAGACATCAAATAAAATAATCTTTCTCAAATTTCCCATGGTAGAAAGTTACCGTGGCAACTTCAGTGCAAAGGAAGTTGCTGTGTATTTGACCTCTCATCTGTTACTTTCAGAAATATTGAAGGATTCTATATACTGCCTCTAGAGACTTACAGAAGGAGAACATCCTGCCCCAAGATGAGCATATTTAGCTCAAGTAGTTTATTAGATCCAGGAAGACCTCTCTAAATCCCACAAAGCAGCCGATTGAGTTTTGAAACTCTTTTTTTTTTTTTTTCTTTTTGAGACAGAATGTTGCTGTGTCACCCAAGCTGGAGTGCAGTGGCGTGATCTCAGCTCATTCAAACCTCCGCCTCCTGGGTTCAAGTGATTCTCCTGCCTCAGCCTCCTGAGTAGCTGGGACTACAGGCACGTGCCACCATGCCCAGCTAATTTTTGTATTTTTAGTAGAGACAGGGTTTCACCATGTTGGCCAAGCTGGTCTCGAACTCCTGACCTCAGGTATCCACCTACCTCAGCCACCCAAAGTGCTAGGATTACAGGCGTGAGCCATTGCGCCTGGCCAGTTTTGAAACCCTTGACAGGATTTCACCATTATATTTGCCAATATTTATTTAGGAAAATTTATACTAAAATCTTATTTTCACCGAATTGTGTATCTTTTAAAACCAATCTTTGCTAAAATAGTACCTAATGGAAGTTTTATTTTACTTTTTTTTTTTTTAAGTCACAAAGGAGACAGGGCTGTGTCCTCACATGGAAATAACTGAGCTGCTCAAGCCTTTCCTTCCTGGTGGGATCCCCAACCGCCACCCTGTTTCCAAGCTGGGTTTTTACGGAGCAGCTGACAGTCACGGGAAATAATCTATGGTTGAAATCAGGTTTCATTTATTTAAGCTCAGCAGGCTCTCCACATCTAGAAATCAGATAAATATTAATCAACATTTCCTTCTCTTTTTATGGTTTGATTTTTCCTTTATCTCTCTAACCCACCTAGAATTATATGATGAATAGTGTTAGTACATATTTTTTCATAAAAATAATATTCTAGTCACATTTATTAAATAATTCAAGTCCTGTCCTGTTTTGTGCTGTTTCCTTTTATATATACAATGCAGAATCTGCTTTAGATAAGTTTTATACAGAAGGTGAGTCACTACAGAACAACAATGATGAGATTGTACATATTAAAATAATTTGTATTCAATTTATTTATGCATGTTTTAGAACGATATTATTTTAGGGTTTTTTTCCCCTTGTTTTCTTGTTTTACTTTGCCTTGTCAGGACAAGTTCTTCTTTTTAAAATACATATAATTTGAGAGAATTGTCCTCTTAAAAATAATTGCTCTTTCTGAACTAAATCATTGCATGACACTTGAGTATTATTTTAAAAATTCCAGTAAAGCCACGTTTTATGATATTTTCCACAGTTCACTTGCATAGTTCAATGAGGTTATTCAAGCTGAGGTCCTTATTTTGTTTATTTTGTAAATGGGTTCTCATGCGTTTTACTTTAGGCAATTTATTTTCTCTGTGTAGAAAAACTATTGAATTATTTTATATTTGCGAAATCCTAAATAATTTTTAAAGCAACACAAGACACAAGAATAAGGGGGAAAGCAACAGATTTGAAGAAGAAAAGCAAGAAACCAAAATCCATGGCTTGTGTATTAGCTTGACCTGGCGATCCTTTGAGAGCGTTGCTTGCCATGAACACAGAAGCCCCATGATCAGCTATGAAGCGATTTGAAAGGAAGAGAGAGAAAAAACGGTCATTATATGCTGATTATGTGATTTTATAGAAACTATGTAACTCAAACTTCATATTATTAATGTGGGAAGCAGAGAGGCCCCAGGGAACTGAACCAGTCCTGGCCTCTCCTTGCTAGGGCGCTCCACATGGGGGTCCTGCCCCTGCCCTCCCTCTCCTGCAGACGTTATCTGGCTCATGCGGTAACTTAACGAAGACCCTTGCCAGGGCAACTGCACTTCACCAGTGAGGTGTGAGAGCCAGCACTCTTCAAGGGGTCTCCTTCCCCCTTGACACTGTCCTCTAATGACCTAGATGCCTCTTCCCAGTGGCACGATCTGCTTGGTGTTGGTGGCAGGTGGTGTGAGCAGGGCACCTCATGGATCACCAGGGTGAGGCTGGGCCGGCGGGGAGACGCAGCAGCCTCTCATCCTCCAGGCACCAAGCAAGGTGGCTGCAAGTGGTCCACAGGTGAGCCCAGAGAACACCTTGGACACCTGAGATTTAAGTGGCATCTCACAGGCCAACAGCTGTGTACCTCCATTCATACGTCGCCACTTGTATTATGAAAGCGTTTCTCACATTGACAGGACTTGAGATAAAGACTTTCATGAAAATGATTGAGCAATTTTAATTTCAAAAAGACTCAGATATTTTTTTCAAGCTGCAAGTCTCTACTTCAGACATATGTTTCTACCTGATAAATAAGATATATCACTTCATGTAATAATGAATTGAAACAAAAATTTTATGTCGGTGGTTTTTAAATTATTAATATTTAAGATATTAGAAAACAATAGCATACACTTGTCTCTCTATCCATGCTAACTAAACATATTTGTATTATGCAATTTATTTTATTATTCTAATTCAAGAGTCACCTCAATAGTCTAAAATTCAAAATGAATAACTTTTGGTTAATTAGTTTGATTATGTTTATTTACATGTTTGATTTTTGAGAATTCTCCAAAGTTCAGTACAGTGGTCATTAGCTACTTGTGGTTATTTAAAGTTGTGTAAATAAATTAAAATGAAATAATTCAAAAAATAATGACACCTACCCCACTTCCAGGGCTCAATGGTCATATGAGGCCAGTTCCTACTTCAGGGTTCAGCGCATCTATAGAATAATCTATAATTCTGAAAATTGCTACTGAGCAGCTCTGGTTTAGATAATAAGCAGTGTGGGAGATTGTAGTAAAGAAACAAAGTTTTATAACATTGCAACATTTGAAAAAATCTTTAAATTTGGTATAAAATTTATTTTCAATGTAATAAAGATTTCAATGTAATATTAGATTGCTAAGAGAAGAGACAATGATTTTCAAATAGAATTAAGCTTAAAGAAAGTGGTAACATAAATAGAGAAGGCCTAAGGTCACCATGTCAAGAAGGAAAAAGAATACCCAAACTTGGAGTCTTTAAAAAGACGACAGATGGAACATTTGAAAAACTAGATGCAAGTGCATTAAAAACAATTTCTATTCAAAAGGCATTTCAAAGTATGACTTAGCAAAATTAACATCAGAAAAACTAGAAAATTGCAAAACTACTTACAAAATTAAATCCGCAATTTAAAGTTAGCTCATGAGAAGGGAGGGGGAAATTCCACAAAAATTTCCAAGTGCAGATGGCTTCACCAGGCAATGGAACCAAATATTTCAGTGGGGAAAAAAGTCCATCTCAGACAAATACACTGAGTGAATAAACAAAAAGCAAGTGAGGTGTCTGGACAGATTTTAACAAGGCCGGTTCGTTCGTCATGCTGGATCCTCTGAAGAGGAGCAGAGGAAAGGAAATTTATCTCACTCATGAAAGAGATGCAAAAACATGCACAGAATTCACACACGTAATATGACCACAGGAAAGAGGATAACTCATCATGACAAGTTGGATCATAAGTGCAAGATCGGTTTATTAATTAAAAATGAATTGAGATAATTCACATTGTCACAATAAATAAGTATAATCATATGAACATCTCGAGAGTTGCAGAAAAATTATTTATTCATGTATTTATATGCATTTTATAGCAGCATTGAAGACATAATGAGAATTACAAAAATTTAAGAATATTAAAGAAATTCAGAAAAATATATTTATGGCATAGAGATGAAAAGAATTTCTAGACAAAGATACAAAAGCATAAGTAATGAAGGAAAGAGTAGTAACTTATCCCTGTCAAAACTAGTTAATTGATAACAGACAACAGGAACAAAGTTGAAGGATATCATACATAGCCAGAATCTTCAGTATCAATAACAAGTTAAAATTCCATCAACTCAGTAAGGAAAGAAGAGTAACTAGTCAAGTTGCCCAGGCTGGAGTGCAGTGGCACGATCTCGGCTCACTGCAACCTGTCTCCCAGGTTCAAGTGATTCTCCTGCCTCAGTCTCCCGAGTAGCTGGGATTACAGGCGCCTGCCACCACCAGCAGCTAATTTTTGTATTTTTAGTAGAGACAGGGTTCCACCATGTTGGCCAAGCTGGTCCAAACTCCTGACCTCAGGTGATCCACCCACCTCGGCCTCCCAAAGTTCTGGGATTACAGGCGTGAACTGCCACGCCCGGCCCAAGGCCAAGCTCTTTTCTCACATTGCACACACTTCTTTCTCATAGAACTTTCCAAATATAATTATTTACATATGTATAATTATCTAAGAGACTCCTACTAGACAGGAAGTCATCAATTAGTGACTTCCTGTCATGTTACATGCAGAGATGATCCTATTCTGTTACAGCACTGTTCAACCATTATCCAGGGAATCATTTGCCAAATAAAGTCTGGGAAAACCAAATCCACCTGTAAACATTTACACGACACCCTTGAATATGTGACTCTTACACCAAGAGTACCAGGAATGAAAAGATAGGTCAATATTATATATAATTCCTAATAATACAAAAGGTTAAAAAGGAAAAATATAGTCATATATATGAATTTTCAAGACATTTATTATTTTCGCTTTCAACACTATTGCCATAGAGATACTCTTACAGTATCTATTGATGTAATATCATTAAAATTTAGGGGAAAAAGTATAATATAGCTTGTAATTATTTCTGAGCTCACTAACTGTGCTCCTAAGAATAGTCATTGAATGGAGAGAGAGAGAGAGAGAGCAAAAGGGAGATTGGAGCTTACCATCAACAACACTGATGATGTTGGCCAGTAAAATAAATAGAATAATTACTTAAATTCTAGTAAAAGAAAAGAAATAAAAGAAATTTGCTGATATGAAGCACTGAGGAGTTCTACATAAAAGAAATTTCTAATAAAAAAGAGGTACCATGCTTCAGGATGGGAAAATTTAATACTGCAAGTGTGGGAATACTTTTCAGTTTTATACTATAGTTTAAATGTCATTTCAATTCAAATTCAAATGGGATTATTTTTGGGAACCTGGCAAAATAATTTTAATTTCACCTATACTTTTTATGAGATTGTTCTTCATGACATTATTTAAAATCATTATTAACAACTTTTGCTCCAAGTTAGGTTTAAATAATTCACGTGTTTATAAGATGAAATGTTATGTGGCTATTAAATTTAGATTTAGGCAATACAATATATTTAGTGGTAATGAAATCTTTTTACATACATAAACACTTACTCATTTTTACACCTAAATATGTTAACAGTTTTTACTTCCTGATGTCCTGTGTAGAGGCGAGGTTATTTTTTTTCTCATTTGATGTTTCTCAATTTTTGTTAGCAATAAACATAGATAACTAATGTATTGAGATGAATCAATAACACATCAAGAAGAGAAGAAAAATATCAAAAATATAATATACTTTCTTGAGCTCCTAGTTAAATGGATTAAGTAAAAAAAAAGAGGAAAAAACAAGTAAGCCTTAAATGATAGTATTACAGATGCTGTACATAAGATTATATTATATAAACAATTTTATGTTGATATGTTCAAAAATTTACACAATATGTAAAGAAATACATATTTCCATGCTTATGTAAGAAGTTTAATCTGTGCAAACTACCATTATACTTTATATTGGAAAAAAAAAGTTCCTATTATCAGAAAGAGAAAAACCAGAGAGGTTTGAATAAATGAAAAATAGATGACCCCTACACTTAAATAAAAAGCTGAATATCCAAAACATTGAATAAATCCTATTTCCATAAAATAAAATAATTCTAACTATTTTTTTAAAAAGTGCTTCCTTAGAAATACAGTTAAGTATAAGGGCTTGTTACAATCGTTAAGTGTATAGAATCTTCGCTTTCATTTTCTGACATGGACTAAGAGAAATTCCTTTGCTAAACAGTAATCCACTCCATCTCTGTTTTCCTGCTGGCCAGTTCTTGCGTTAATCTTGACCTATTTTATTGCTAAGCAGCCACAGACAGTGAAAACAAAAATGTAGATTGATTTTTCTGCTCTCTCCCTCAGTGCTGCAGGCTCAATAGAGAAGAATTCTGCCTTCCAAGGGTTTGCAGGCTACAATTAGAAAACAAAAAAAACAAAACAAAACAAAAAAACAAACAAAAAAGTTTCATATGGCATAACCATTATAATCAATTTTCTAGAGTAAAAGTTTTGTCTATTCTGGCTTAACACGACATGTATTTTAAGTTTTGTAATGTCAATGCCACACTTTCAGATACCGATTTATGCATTATGTATAGGCTAATATATATGCATATATACTCATATTATATGGATACAAAATCCCTCAATCCTCAACACTATACATTTACTTTGTTTTCCCCTTCAGAGCCCAGAAGAAGGGCCATTCAGAGCAGGCACCACCTCTGATCCCCTGATATAATCTGGCCCAGGGTCTTCTGTCATACTCCCTTGCCATCTCTTAATGAATGACTTTTGTCCTCTGTTTAAAGTGAGCATCATCACCATGTCTGTTTTCCAAGGGGTGAGAGGCCAGAGGAGGGCAAGCAGCTTTGTTGTAGGAAATAGACTCAGAATAGTATAGGGCTATGAGTCATTGATATAAGGATAAGACCCCAAATCATATAGGGATATGACCCATTGTTATAGGGACATGACACATTGTTACAAGGAAATGACACATTGTTACAAGGATATGACACATCGTTATAAGGATATGACCCATGGTTATAGGGATGCAACACGTTGTTACAGGGATAGGATACATTGTTACAGAGATATGACCCATTGTTACAGGTATGCACATTGTTATAAGTATATGACCAATGGTTATAGGGATGCCACACGTTGTTACAGGAATAGGATACATTGTTATAGAGATATGACCCACTGTTACAGGTATGCACACTGTTATAGGGATACGACCCATGGTTATAGAGATGCAACGTGCTGTTACAGGGATAGGATACATTGTTATGGAGATATGACCCATTGTTACAAGTATACACATTGTTATAATGATATGACACATGGTTATAGGGAGGCAACATGTTGTTACAGTGATAGGATACATTGTTACAGAGATATGACCCATTGTTACAGGTATGAACATTGTTATAGGGATGTGGCCCATTCTTATAGGGATATAAACCATTGTTATAGGGATATAACCCAGAATTATATAGTGATACAGCCCATTGTTATGGGGATATGATCCATAATTATGTAGGGATATCACCCATTTTTATAGGGACAACCCATTGTTATTGGGATATGACCATGAATTATATAGGCATGTGAACCTTTATTACAGTGATAGTACCCATTATTATAAGGCTGTTACCCAGAATTACATAAAGATATGACTGATTGTTTTAGAGATATGACCCAGAATCGTATAGAGATACGAACCATTGTTATAGGAATATGGCCTAGAATAACATAAGGATATGGCCCATTGTTATATGGGCATATACCCCTTTATTATAGTGATATTACCCATTGTTATAGGGATACGCCCCATTATTAGAAGGTTATTACCCAGAATTACATAAGAATATGACTGATTGTTTTAGGGATAAGACCTATTTTTGTAGGGATATGACCCAGAATCATACAGGAATATGACCCATTCGTGTAGGGTTATGACCTAGAATCATATAGGGGTGTGACTCTTTCTTATAGAGATATGACCCAGAATCATATAGGGATATGACCCATTGTTATAGGGATATGACTCAGAATCATATAAGGATATAGCCCATTGCTATAGGGATATGACTCAGAATCATACAGGGATATAGCCCATTGTTATAGGGATATGACTCAGAATCATATAGGGATATAGCCCATTGCTATAGGGATATGACTCAGAATCATATGGGGATATGACCCATTGTTATAGGGCTATGACAGAATCATATAGGGATATGACTCAGAATCATATAGGGATCTGACCCATTGTTATAGGAATGTGATCCTTCCATTTAGTTATTCATCCCAGAAATCACACACATCACTTCTGTTCATAACTTATCAACCAGGACCTAACTGCAAGGAAACCCAGATGTGTAGACTCCATGCGTAGGGAAGTTCCAGAAGTGTTAATATAATATGAAATAAAGGAGGGAACTGAGTAGATTTGTCAAAGTAACACTGCAGATCAGCAGGTAAAATATCATGCCGTAAATATTTGGTACAATTTGGTGGCTAAAGGCAAAATTAAGTAAAATTTTACATTTCTGACTTATACTTTATACCAAAATAAATTCAAAGATGATCAAAGGTGTAAAAAAAAAAGGCCCGATACATTTAGTGGAAGTAAAAAGAGGAATAATCCTTTTCATAATATTAATGTAACAAAAAAAATCTATAAATGGTAAGGCGGTTAAATTTGGCTGCACACAAATTTGGAATTTCAACATAGAAACACACATATATGCACATAGAGAGGGAAAAACAAGTGACACCTTATAGAGAAACATTTGTAATATTCTTCAGAGATAGAAGATTCATTTCCTTAACAGATAGAAGGTTCTTCCATGGCAATATATTCAACTGTGCGCATAACTCAACTCACTACAGAGGAATGAATGAGAAGCTTAAAAATCTTAAAGAAGAAAAAAAGAAAATGTCTCTAAAACACATAAACTGAAAATATTGCCTGTTTTTACAATCCAGTTTGCCAAGATCAAAACATTTTATTTTGTATTGTGTTTTCCACAGGTGGGGACACATGCGTTCTCTTCCATCATTAGTGGGGTTATAAATGGTGCCCTCTTTATAGGACATTTTGGCGGGTACCCTAATAACACACACTCTTGATTGAACAAATTTAGTATAGTAAGTTATCCTACTGACATATTTACATATATTAAAAAAAAGTAAATTACCCAAAGCCTGTGCACCATATCAAAATATTAGGAACTATGTACATTCTAGGATACTACACACTTCTCGTTTATCTCTCCTTCATCTCGGGTTTCTCCTTTCAATCTGATTTATTAATTCCTCGTCATCTTCTCAATGGTAAACTGTGCCAAAATCCAGCCCCAAGACTTCTTGTCTTCTTTCTTTCCTCCCATTCTTTTGAGGAGTCACCTACTATCATAAATAGTATGTAATGCTGATAAGTCTCCAAATTATATGTTCATCCTGGATTCTTCCCTGTACTCAAGGTTCATATATCCAACTGATTTCTCTTAATTTCCTGACGGGTCCCTCCATGATAGTTAGTCCTAAGTGAATTGCTGATATTTCCAACTCTGAAATATTTTTCAGTCTCAGAAAAATAGAACAATCTGGTCATGTACTTCCACATGAATGGATATTGTGCTGAGTGCAATAAAGCCAGCCACAAAAGAGCAAATAGCATATGGTCCCACTCTACGAACCACCTAAAGTCGTCAAAATCATAGAAATGGAAAGCAGTGAGGTGGTTGCCAAGGCCTGGGGGAAGTAGGGGGAATTATGGTTTACTGCAAGCCAAGTTTTGGTTGTGCAGGATGAAAAGGATCTGAAGCTCTGCTGTGCAGAGAGGGGAATGTACTGCACGCTGCTGATCGGTGCACTTAAAAACGGTTAAGATGGTATAAAGTGTGTCGTGCCTCTGCTCGATTTTAGTGATACAAAGATCACAAGGAATACATGCTCCCTTTTTATACGGCGTCCATAGAAAGATGGAGTAGGAGATAAATTGAACAAAGAAAAGTTAAGTGATTGCAATTCAGATAAGAACTATGGAGATGCAGAGAGTGTTATGAAAATTATCAACAGGGCACTTGACTTTGTGGCAAGTAGTCTGTATACACAATTACTTTATAAAGGCTTAAATGTATGAATTATTTATAAATGTCCAATATAGCTTTCTACTGTAATTGTTCAACAATATACTACATCATTACCTGCGCAGTTTGTATCAGATTGTGCTGCCATAAGAATTTGGTGAGGAAAGACATACAGAAAGACAATCGCAGTGCCTGACATGGGCTAGATCAGTAAAGAGTAGCTGTGATGTCTGGTACTATTGGTGGTTGCAGCCAGATGGTAGCAGCATATATTAAAATTATAATTTGTCTGGATGTTGAGAGCTGCAAAAACAACTATAACTCTTTTCCTAATCATGAACTATTTAATGAATTTTTCCCTGTGAAGAGCTTGGAACAGTGGCTGGCACATGACAACTATTACACTTATTACCCATGCTATTAACATTGTTACAATTATTATTACTATTGTTACAGGCATTCTTTAGGGAGAGACGTGTTTCTTGCCATTTCCAAACAACCAATAATTGCTTGTGGCTCTTTTTTAAGCAGTTTATCACAGGAAAATTCTGCATATGCTTCTGGTTTGCCCTGGCCGCGTCTCCATCTGTTACTCAGTTTCTCTCATGGATTCGCAACCCACATTCAACTGCCTTTTCAACTTGCAAAAGGGTCTTGTTTTTTGCATGACTCTTTATTTTTAATCATAAAAAGTAACCATTTTGTGTGCTCGTTTTTCTTTGTCCTACAAGGATATAGCGTACTAACCTTTATTCAGTGCTGAGTCATTTGACATTTGATTATTTTATTTATGGAACATCTCTCTTTTCGGGCACGGGACCACCAGCTGCTTAAAATCTTTGATATTGTCTTTGCCTCTGTCACCCTCACTAGAGGTTGAGTTCTTTGTGCCATTTTCTTTTACACAGACAGCAGGATGTTGTTTATCCAGTAGGCGTAAATATGCATGTGACATGGCCTGGGGTGGCGGGGGTCTCACCAGAATGCAGACCCTGGATGGTGAGTGAGGTTGGTTAACCACCAAAGAACGTATGCATTCAGACATCAACATAATTGTCCCTCCTATACCTGTGGTTTCTTGAGAATAGTCAAATTTGGAGATATGAATTTTTGAATCCCACGTACTTGTTTACTACTAAAGTACAGTAATGTTTATTCTAAATACTCAGCAAAATATGGCTTCCTTTTAACGCACATTTTGAGTTTCTGGGTCAAATCTCAGAAACCATTGATGTATTAGAGTTTAAGTTAGAAAATGCCACAACAAACAATAAATCAACTAATTAGAAATCACAGTCATGGCAAGAATGGCCAGAACATAGACAGGATGTTGCTATTTCTCCAACTGGGACAGAACATCTTGTTCGTCATCTTCCAACCTTTATGTCAGTTGGAAAATATTGATTTATGTTTCATCACTTTGTTTAATGATGTAAAAATAGAAAATATTTTAGATAAAAGATTATTTATGCATTATTTTTAGATTTTCTTCTTTCCCAAACATTAGAACATGTGATCGCTGAGGAACCCCATCCCCTAGAGAAAGCTTTGCCATGCATGAGATGAGATATATGCATTCAATAAGCAAATGAGCAAATGGCTAATTATCATTCATGGATCTATTTATCTCCATCAGAAAGTTGGGCCCTAAGAAACAGGTAGGATTGGTCGACAGGATGGTGGAGCTATGCCAGGTGGCAGAAAGAAGACGGTGTATGGCAGGGTGAGAAAGGTGTGTGCGTTTCTGGGAGAGAAGAGAAGAAGACAAGGTATCCCTGGATGATCAGAGTGAGGGAGCTGGCGGAATAGAGCATTTCCAAAAGCCTTTTCATTGCTTTTTTCTCACTATATGCAACATTTTACAACTTTTTAGGTGGCTTATGTTTATGGCCCAAATTGAAATGAACATGAGTAATAGCAAAATCCAACAAGAATTTCAAATTTAGTAATGTAGGAGGCAGAATAATTTTATTAGAAATTAAACACACACCAAAATAAAATATCTTGGCATGCGACAATGTTACTATGCATCACCAACATTAAAATCTGCCTTCTGCATTGTTGCTCTGAAGGTCTATATGACTCTTGAAAAATAGTTTATGCTTAATTCTGTGTTAATCTGAGAGAACGCCATTGCATTGATTTGCGACACCATCCATAAGGAACATAGATGTTTGCCTGACTCCAGCTTCCCAGAAGAATGGATTTGAGTACGACAGTCACATTTCTGAACAAAAATGATCTGTTGGGCTACATACATCATGACAAATAGTTCCTATACACCAGGTTGCAGATTTAAAATAAATTGACTGCTCGGTGATAAATTCCTGGAGTAGGAGAAGAGGTCAGTGCACATGAAAACACTGGCATAACCTCACCTACAGAGATACGGATGGTTCTCTACAGCTACAATTATTTCATAATGGGCAGGAGGGTTTATCAGGCTAAACAGACCATATGGTGAAATGAATCCTTAAATTGAAAACAGAAAGACATTTTTAAATTGTCAAAGAGGAGGTAAAGTCATCGACACATTTCTATAAAGCACAAGAGCAAAAAAATCTGAAAAGCTAAAATATGGCAAGGTAAAAAGCACACACGCACACACAGTTCAGGACCCTGCTGATGATAAAATTTGAAATTTAAAAAAGTACTTAACTTTTGACCTCCGTGGATTTAGCGCATGAGAAAATTAGAGAAATATGATTTCTGTGATGTTTTAAACCACGGTTCTGTCTAATTATGCATAGTGTTTTGGTCATGTTTTGATCGCCCCAAAGAAGAAAAAAAAATAGCTCGCTTGATTGGCAGACAGCACAAATAGATAAGAAAACTCGGTCGTTGCCACTAGACAAGGTTTGTTGCCAACGTGGGCGCCCCTCTGTAAGGACAATGGACTTTAAAAGACCATGTAAAAGTCGCATTAGGCTGTTGGTGAAGTTCAATCTAAAAGGGGATAAACATTCTAAATTCCTCGATTTTCTTTTTACTCTTAACTTCTTTTACTCTTAACTTAGAATACGAAGAGGAGAGCTCACTTGTTCATGATGTTGCCTTTACTCCTCTAATAAACACCTTACCTGCTGAGGGAAAGGACAGGTGTTTGTCAATCTTTTGTTTATTAGGAAATAAAAGACCCACGAGCCCCAACTGCATGAAAAATAGGGAACTGGCTTGAATATGGCATCTGCTCTCCTCTAATGTAATTTCTCCAGCTTAATTGCTTTCCGACAGCAATCTCTGGATTTTTCAGAAGCCTTCTGTCCAATATTTAGCCACAGAAGATTCTCCTAGACCTCTTTCTTGGTGACAAAAACAGAACATTTAAATTATATGGCTATACATAACATTTTTTATTTAAGCATTTACTATTTTATATGTGTGTGTCTCTGTCGACTTTAGGTATATTAATCATAACAGGCTGATGGTGGAAGGCCCAGAAATATCTTTGAATGTGCATCAGAAGTGAATCCCATTATCTTATCTAGAGCTTCATTAAATATACAAACCCATACAAAAGCAAACAACTCTGCTATTCCATCTCGATTTATGGAATTTGAAGTTTTTCTCTAGTACAAAGACTGCTTCCCATTAGAGTTTAGAAACTCAGAGAAATTGCAGAGAAAATTATAGTCATTTGGAGCCAAAACACGTGCCCATGTAATTAATTTGATGAAGAAATATATAGGGACTTTACTTCTATTTTTTTTTCTGTGAAGAGAGTAAAAAATATTAGATTAGAAAATAGCACTTCTTTTTCTTTAAAAAAAAGATTATACTTTAAGTTCTGAGGTACATGTGCAGAACCTGTAGGTATGTTACATAGGTATACATGTGCCATGGTGGCTTGCTGCACCCATGAACACGTCACCCACATTAGGTATTTCTCCTAATGTTATCCCTCCCGTAGCCCCCCACCCCCCGACAGGCCCCGGTGTGTGATGTTTCCTTCCTTACGTCCATGAAAAATTATACTTAGATCACATATGAAAATGGTACTATTTTTGACATGCTAGGTAAATAAAATATATTATTTGAAAAAAAAGAAAGAACAGCACTTCTGTGGGCACAGAAGAATTTAGATTAAAATCACATCTGCTTTTAGAAGGAGCTGGGCTCTTCTCAGAATTTAAATCTCTGTAAACAATCAAATCACTGTAGAGTTTTATCTTAGTCCTTTTTATTCTGTCCCAGATTTTATTTTTGAGTCAACTCAGCTGTATGCTGGATCATGCCTGTCCATTTCAGAATGTCGGAGAACAAAAAATCCGTGTTCCGAATTCCCTCTGATTTCAGGAACATTTGTACCCAATTATATTGGTTAGTTGACATTCTGTTTAATATTTTGATTTCAGGGAAAATCTCTCTCTTTGATAGTGTAGAACCAGTGATGTGGTAATTCATTTAGTCTCTTATAGTATCATCTCATATGATATGGGTAAAAATACTATCAAGAGTGATATTTTTAGGGCTAAATTATATTCCATTGTTTGTGTGTGTGTGTGTGCTATGCAAACATATGTGTGTATATGTATATATATCACAATTCATTTATCCATTCCTCTGCCAACAGACACTTTGGTAAGCACAACGTCTTGCCTATTACGAATAATGCTGCAATGAAAATGAAGGCGCAGATATATTTATTATTATTGTTATATTATTATTATATCTTATTATCAAGGTAGTGATTTTTGGGTAGACCAAAGGAAGGCAGTATTCTAAATAAAAAAAGCAACACAGAAGGAAAAGTACTGCATGATTTTACTTACGTGTGAAATCTAAAACAAAAGATAAAACTTAGGTATGTAGAAACAGGGAGTAGAATGGTGCTTACCAGATGCTGGGGCTGGGATATGAGCACAGATATATGTCAAAGCATAGAAAATGTAAACTATGTAGGATGAATATGTTTTAGGAACATAACGTACAGTGTGAGGACTACAGTTAATAATATTGTAGTCTGGACATTTGCTGAGAGTAGATTTTAGGTGTTTTTATGACACGTGTAAAAGGTAACTGTAGCAATCATTTCACAATGTACCTGTGTATCAAAGCAGCGTGATATGCACCTTAAAGAGATACAATATAAACTAGTGATAATTGCACCTTTGTACTGCTGGGAAACACACAAATACCCTCATAATCATAAAACTTGGAAACGTTGAAATAGAAGAATTTGTGGCTTTGTACGTGATAAAATGTCTTAAATGAGCCGTTGATGACTTCCATTGATTTATCTTGGTAATCTGGATGGTTCTTCCCAACACCTTCAGCTTAAATTTCTCTACCTCTAAACAGAGAGTTGATTGGTTTGAGCTTATGGTCAGGCATGGTTATACAATTGTGCTGTCATCTTACTTTTGCAATTACTATTACATTTGTGGTGGTTAATGCTGAGTGTCAACTTGATTGGATTGAATGATGCAAAGTATTGACGGTGGGTGTGTCTGTGAGGGTGTGTCCAAAGGAGATTAACATTTGAGTCAGTGGACTGGGAGAGGCAGACCCACCTCAATCTGGGTGGGTATCATCTAACTGCCAGTGCAGCTAGAATAAAGCAGGCAGGAGAAGATGGAAGAGCAGACTTGCTGAGTCTTCTGGCGTTCATCTTTCTCCCGTGCTGGATGCTTCCTGCTATAGAACATCATGCTCCAAGTTCTTCGGCTTTTGGACTCTCGGACTCACGCTAGTGATTTGCCAGGGGCTCTCGGGCCTTCGGCCACAGACAAGGCTGCACTGTTGGCTTCCCTAATTTTGGGGTTTTGGGACTTGGACTGATCCACCTACTGGCCTCCTTGCTCCTCAGCTTGCACACAGACTGTTTTGGGTCTTCACCCTGTGACCCTGTGAGCTTTTTTGTGAGTGCATAGGGAAAGCCCCACACACTTTAGGCAGAGGGTGCAGCTGCCTAATGTGTGAGCCGCAGGAACTGGAACGCTATCGACTTATGAATCTCTATAGTTTAAACTTAAATGTCAAGAGCAAGAACTGTGGAGTCAAACAATCCCAGGGTTAGATACCATCTCTGTTCTTTGCTACATATATATTCTCAAACCATTTCCTCCTCTTCTCCAATCTTCCCTCTCATTATCTTAAAATGGGCTAACATCCATTGCGCAGGGAAGATGCACAGACTCCAGCAGTGAACGTGGTGCAGGGAGCCCCTGGGGTGTCAGCAGAGCAGAGCTGGGGTGTCAGCAGAGGCAGTTATGCAGGTGCTGAGGGTAGCTGCAGAGCAGAACAGGAGGTTCCACCTACGTTTTCCCCTCAGTTGCATTTGGTCATTGATTTCCTGCACTGCCTCACAGTGGAAAGAGGAAACACTTTTGTTTGAAGAATATGTGTGCCTTTATCTTAAAGGACTGTAGTGGAGAGGTCTTAGACAATTCTATTCATCTATATGGCCTTGTTTTCTTATCTGCAGAAACTATTACTAGTATCTGTACCTCATGGAGTCTATTGGTATCAAGAGACTGTATTGAAAACTGCATAAACTAACGTAAGTGAAAATGAATTACAAAATCCTGAAGACCTTCAATTATTTATTTTGTTCAAATGTTTAATTAGATTCTGGACTTGTGATTAAATGAAGCAAGTAATCACCACCTGAGAAGTTGTTAATATGTAGATTTTTTTTACTCCTTGATCCAAAAGGTAGCTTTGGAGAAGAAATTTTATGGTAAATATACCTTCACCTTTTAAAACACCCCAAATCACGTCACGTTGGTGATCAGAGGACCGCATTTTGGAAATATATAAACTAGATAAGAACCCGAAGCCATGTAGGAAAACAAAAAAGTGCTGCAGGGATGGAGCGGAGAGAGGTCTAAGATTGGCAGGAGACCATGAGCTTAAATTATGGTAAATAGTAGTTAATCTCAAGCAGTTATTTCTGTCCTACACGGTTGATTTTTTTCTATAGGAATAAAGTTGATTTATTGTGTAACTTAAAATATACCCAATGGATAAACTCATTCCAGACCAAAATAAACAAATAAATTAATAGCAGCAATAAATAAACAAATATCAGCCAAAATAAACAAACAAATAAAAGTTACAAATAACACATAGATGTGAGGTCCCAACTATAAGTTGAAGCACTTATATTAGAAGACCTCAGAATCTCCCAAACAGTTTAAAATCCATCAGGTAAGAAGCCAAAATCAAGTTAGAATTTAAACTTTCACATCTAAACCATTGGTTTTACTTTTCTTTCCCCCTGTAGGATTGAAGCTTCAAGTCCTAGTAAATTAAGAGTAGTTTGGTTCAGGATGAGTTGCACCTAATTGACACCATTGCTGAAAAAAAATTTGTCAACTATATTTAACATCTAATTATTTAAAAGACTGTTTATTAAGTAATATAATTAGTATTTCAAGCAGACTCCTTAACATTTATTTTCAAGAACAGGAATATTTTACTGTAAAGTTTGGCCACTTGTACCATCCATAACAGCACTTGGATTCCCGATGATAACTTTCTGAAAAACAGGAGGTTAAATATTATAAACATGCCCGTAATATTTTAGATAAAATGATCTAACTTGTTTTTTAAAGCTACTGTAAAGCATGACCTATAAAAACAGATACACGTACATACCATGAGATTATTGCCCCCGTTCCTTCCATTTTATAGTCCTCATTCGTCACACTGAGTTCAGAAGACCCAGAGAGAGACCCTCTTAAGCTGAGAAAGGAGAGGATGTGGAGGATGTCAACAGGCTCCGTGTGGTTGCAAATCACAGCAGCACCAGGAATCCAGTGGTCCTGCGGTAGCTCTAACACTCAGAAAACAGGACGCAGGGCAGAGCTTACGCAGGGTGATTGACAGAGCTGCACCAGTGAGAAACCAGGTTTGAAAACCAGGATAAACTATGGCCTTAGAACAAAAGCAGAGAGGGTAGGGAAGGGATTTCAATCAAAGAGAGGGGCAGTAAGAGGAAAGAAACAGAGACAGGTCCTGCCCTGAATTCCTCCACTTTAACGACAAACATTGACAGCTCTCAGGCTGCTCATGGCTGAACTGCCCTTACGGAATTACAGCAGCAGACTCTGCAGCATAATATCTCAACATAAAAAGGAAAATTTCAGGAGAAATGAACCTATCAAGAAATCGAAAATCCAAAGCATTGAATAAGTCATTCATGCAAATGATAAAGGAATCAACATTTGAGATGTGAAATTGGAGTTAGGGAAAACTGAATGTATGTTAGTCTAATCCCTAGGGAAAATGACAGGTATCAGTAAAGAGAAGAAAACATCAAAGAAAGAATAAACAAGGCGGTGTGAAATAGTCCAAATGTATTTACCACTGAATATTTTCTTAAGCAGCATCTCTAGGGACCAGAGATTTAAGAAATAATGTTTGGAAAGTACTGCGCTAGAAGCATTTCCATTACAATCAGGAAATATAATTTTTCAAAATGTTTTCTATAGTACAAATTTTAACTTTGATTTGAAAATACTGGACAATGCAAATGGGAGACAAAATAAAATAAAGTAGTAAATATTGGTAGGGTTGAAGTACTGTCATTATTATATGTAGACAAATTGATTTTCTAATGTATAAACTCAATAGATTTTATAACATTTCCCCTTGTTTTTTTTATTGTATGGATGGTATATGTCAAAACACAAAAGGATTAATGATGATGTTGAAGGTCAAAACACTTTACATAATAATAAAAGACAATTTTAATTTTTATACATATGCTAAATACTAGGCCAGTAAGAAAGTATAAAATAAAACTCTAGTCACATTGATCATAGTTAAATTAATTATATATTAAGAACAAAGGCTGGATGTGGTGGCTCATGCCTGCAATTCCAGCACTTTGGGAGGCCGAGGCAGGCAGATTGCCTGAGCTCAGGAATTCAAGACCACCCTGGGCAACATGGTGAAACCCCGTCTCCACTAAAATACAAAACATTAGCCAGGCATGGTGGTGGGTGCCTGTAGTACCAGCTACGTGGGAGGCTGAGGCACAAGAATCACTTGAGCCTCGAAGATGGAGGTCACAGTGGAGCTAAGATCATGCCACTGCACTCCAGCTTGGGCCACAGAGTGAGACTCTGTCTCAAAAAAAGAAAAAAAAGCAATAAAACAAATAATACTCTGATTTTATTTTAATAACAGTATTTTTAGAAAGCTTTATATATAAGAAAAATACAGAGACTTAGAAATGACAGATAAGAAATACTTAAAATAATAAGAAAAGGATCTGACACAAGAACTTAGATAATGTTCTTCTTTGAAAAAATGTACAATTTTCTGGAAATCAATTTTGAAATATAGAAAAATATAAATAAATATTAATAGTAATGTAGTGGGGGATACAACCACAAATTTTAAAATTCAAACTGGAAGAGGCACCTATGAACAAATCACATTAGTATATTGGAAAATCTAAATAAAATGAACACCATTTTTTCAAAACTTTTCCATATTACTTCACATATAATTATAAATGTTGGATAAATCAAAAATTATCAAAATATTTGAAAAGTATTAAAACCTTGTAACCCAAATTGACCCTTAATTGAGATTATTTTATGTAGAAATTGTACTCAATTTCAAGGAAAAATAATCTTAAATTATTTATACCTGTGCAGAATATGCAGAGAGGGAAACATTGCAGGTTTTTAAAAGTGGTTTATCAAGCTCTAATACCCATATTGGATGCTGTGCCCCCAGATGTGAATAAATGTGTGCATGTGTGTGTGTGTGGTGTGTGTGGATGTGTAACGTTCTAATAAAACATGGAGTATCCAAAGTAAAATAATAGCCAAATGAATCACCATACACATAACAACATGTGCCAGGAAGGGAAAAATGGGTCAACATTTGGAAACCTAATAATAAAATAAATTCTAATCCTTAGTAAGCTAAGAGAAGAACTACATTAACTTGATTATATGAAACAGAGCCATGAAAATATTATTAAGTATAAAATAATTGAGATAGTCCATTAAAGTCAGGGCAAGGCAAATATATGCACCCTTTTTTTATAAATATTGTGGAGGAAGTCCTTGCCAAAAAATCTCTGAATAATAATAATAATAATAATAATTATATGCATGCCTATTTTAGATAAGAGATTATTTTTATTTTATTATTAAAGAACAATTGATTTTCTGCTTACAATATCCAAGTACATCAATTGAAAAAATACTAGATTTAATATTAATATTGAATAATTATTAATTTGCAAAGTAAAAAAGCAATAAAAGTTTTAGAAATTTCACAAATACTCAATTCAAAATTGTTAGGCGAAATGTAGCTTTCATAGCAGTAGAAGGAATAATTCAAACAGAAACATATTAGGCATTTTATATTGCTGTTCCTCAAGGAAGAAATGTTTTAACTGAGAAAATCAATTTAGGTAATTGAACACATGGGTATTGGGGATTGAAAAGACAAAACTAAAACACTGTGCTAAAACAGAGACAGTGACTTCAGAGAGGAGTCCGAGGGGAATGAAAGGAAAGCGGAAAAGCTGGGATGATTAGAATGTAGAAAGTCTAAGGTGTTTCCCCGAGACTGGGACCAGACACCTGCAAAGGGCCAGTGGGCATCTTACGGGGTCAGATGAGGACTTCACAGGGACGGGCCTCGGACTTCTGAAGAGGAGGCACCATGCAGCTGGTGCTATTTGGGGATAATTCTAGCAAATTTAAGATTCACAAAGTTATTTTGCATTGCAGGAATTTATACTGAAAATGATTTGTAGCTGACAACCTTGACATTACTGCGGAACAACAGAAATAAAATAACAATGAAAATCGGCTGAGCGTGGTGGCTCACATCTGCAATCCCAGCACTTTGGGAGGCCAAGGTGGGCAGATTGCCTGAGCTCAGGAGTTTGAGACCAGCCTGGCCAACATGGTGAAACCCCATCTCTACTGAAATAGGAAAACATTAGCCGGGCATGGTGGTGCACGCCTGTAGTCCCAGCTAGCCTGGAGGCTGAGGTAGGAGAATTGCTTAAACCCAGGAGGCAGAGGTTGCAGTGAGCCAAGATAGAACCACTGCGTGGAGACAGAGTGAGACTCTGTCTCAACAACAAGAAAAAAAAGAGAGAAACAAATACAATATCAATGAAAACCAATGTATTTTCTAATAATAAAAAGCGTGGAGACAGAGTGAGACTCTGTCTCAGCAACAACAAGAAAAAAAAAGAGAAACAAATACAATATCAATGAAAATCAATGTATTTTATAATAACAAAAATAATCTCTCCTTTAAAATAGGCACACATACAATTATCATTATGTGATTTTTTGGCTAGGACTTCTTCCACAATATTTTAAAAAGAGTGCATATCCTTGCCTTGTTCTGACTTTGATGGACTATCTCAATTATATTATAATTTATTATATTCTCACAGCACTGTTACATACAATTAAGGTAATGTAGTTTTTCTCTTAGCTTACTAAGAACTATAATATTAATAATACAATATAAATTTTGTAATTTTCAATCTTCATATTGTGCGTATATACTACACTAGTAGAGAAATGGGGAGAGAGAGAAAGAGAGAGAGAGGGAGAACGAAGATATGTAGTAAAACTGTTG
Source organism: Homo sapiens (assembly GCF_000001405.40). NCBI lineage: Eukaryota > Metazoa > Chordata > Mammalia > Primates > Hominidae > Homo > Homo sapiens. The sequence continues at coordinate 2,063,260 of NC_000010.11, forward strand.
AAAAGCAAATAAAAAATAAAACAACTTTAGGTGATTTATTAGTCCATTTTCATGCTGCTGATAAAGACATACCTGAGGAGACTGGACAATTTACAAGAGAAAGTGGTTTAATGGACTTACAGTTCCACGTGGCTGGGGAGGCCTCACAATCATGGTGGAAGGCAAGGAGGAGCGAGTCACATCTTACGTGGATGGCAGAAGGAAAACAGAGGGCTTGTGCAGAGAAACTTTCCCTTACAGTACCATCAGATCTCATGAGACTTATTCACTATCATTAGAACAGCACAGGAAAGACCTGCCACCATGATTCAATTACCTCCCACTGGGTCCCTCCCAGAACACATTGGAATTCAAGATGAGATTTGGATGGGGACACAGCCAAACCATATTATTCCATGCTTGCCCCTCCCAAATCTCATGTCCTCACATTTCAAAACAAATCATGCCTTCCGAACAGTCCCCTAAAGTCTTAACTCTTTTCAGCATTAACTCAAAAGTCCACAGTCCAAAGTGCAAAGTCTCATCCAAGACGAGGTAAGTCCCTTCTGCCTATAAGCCTGTAAAATCAAGAGCAAGTTAGTTACTTCCTAGATAAAATAGGAGTACAGGCCAATGCCTGTAAATACAGCTGTTCCAAATGGGAGAAATTGGCCAAAACAAAGGGGCTACAGGCACCATGCAAGTCTGAAATGCAGTGGAGCAGTCAAATCTTATAGCTCCAAAATGATCTCCTTTGACTGCGTGTCTCATATTCGGGTCATGCTGAGGCAAGAGGTGGGCTCCCATGGCCTTGGGCAGCTCTGCCCCTGTGGGTATGCAGGGTTTTCAGGGAGGGGGTTTGCACCCCCTCTGGCTGCTTTTACAAGCAGGCTTTGAGTGTCTGTGGCTTTTCCAGATGCATGGAGCAAGCTGTCAGTGGATCTATCATTCTGGGTTCTGGAGGATGGTGGCCCTCTTCTCACAGCTCCAGTAGGCAGTGCCCCAGTAGGGACCCTGTTTGGGGGCTCCAACCACACATTTCCCTTCTGCACTGCCCTAGCAATTGTTCCCCATGAGGCCTCCACCCCTGCAGCAAACTTCCATACATCATCTGAAATGTAGGTGAATGTTCCCAAACCTCAATTCTTGACTTCTGTGAACCTGAAGGCTCAACACATTGTAGAAGCTGCCAAGGTTTGGGGCTTCCACCCTCTGAAGCAACATCATAAGCTGTACCTTGGCCCCTTTTAGTCACAGCTAGAGCAGCTGGGCGGCAGGATATCATCTCGTCCCTAGACTGCGCATGGCAGAGGGACTCCCTGGCCCACAAAACCATTTTTTCTTCGTAAACCTCCAGGCCTGTAATGGAAGGGGCTGTCCCAAAGGTCTCTGACATACCCTGGAGACATTTCCCCATTGTCTTGGGGATTAACATTTGGCTCCTAGTTACTTATGCAAATTTCTGCAATTGGCTTTAATTTCTCCTCAGAAAATTGGATTTCCTTTTTTATTGCATTGTCAGACTGTAAAGTTTCCAAACTTTTATGTTCTGTTTCTCTTTTAAAACTGCACACCTTTACCAGCACCCAAGTCACCTCTTGAATGCTTTGCTGCTTAGAAATTTCTTCCACCATATACCCTAAATCATTCCTCTTACTTCAAAGTTCCACAAATCCCTAGGGCAAGGGCAAAACACTGCCAGTCTCTGCTAAAACATAATAAGAGTCACCTTTGCTCCAGTTCCCAACAAGTTCCTCATTCTCCATCTGAGATCACCTCAGCCTGGATTTCATTGTCCACATCATTATCAGCATTTTGGTCAAAGCATTCAACTTGTCTCTAGGGAGTTCCAAACTTTCCCACATTTTCCTGTCTTCTTCTGAACCCCCCAAACTGTTCCAAACTCTGCCTGTTACACAGTTCCAAATTTGCCTTCACATTTTCAGGTATCTTTTCAGCAGCACCCCACTCTACTGGTACCAATTTACTGTATTAGTTCATTTTCAGACTGCTGATAAAGACATACCTGAGATTGGGCAATTTACACAATAAAGAGGTTTAATGGACTTACAGTTCCATGTGGCTAGGGAGGCCTCACAATCATGGTGGAAGACAAGGAGGAGCAAGTCACGTCTTACATGGATGGCAGCAGGCAAAGAGAGCTTGTGTAGGCAAACTCCCCCTTACAATACCATCAGATCTCATGAGACTTATTCACTATCACAAGAACAGCATGGGAAAGACCTGCCCACATGATTCATTTACCTCGCACTGGTTCTTTCCCACAACACATAGGAATTTAAGATGAGATTTGGGTGGGGACAGAGCCAAACCAAATCAGGTAACCAGAGAAAAGATACATTACATTTTCAAAGCAGTATAATAAGATTGATAGATTACTTCTTACCAAAAGGGTGGACAGTGTGGCAAAACCCCATCTCTACCAAAAGCAACAATAACAACAAATGAAAATTAGCCAGGCATGGTGGTGTGCACCTATAGTCCCAGCTACTCAGAAGGCTGAGGCAAGAGGATTGATAGAGCTGGGAAGGTTGAGGCTTCAGTGAGCTACAATCATGCCACTGCCCTCTAATCTGGGTGACAGAGAAAGATCCTGTCTCAAAAAATAAAAATAGAAACAAACAAATAAACAAAAACGCCAAAAAAAGTGGAAGCCAGACTATAGAATTTAACTATATGGAGCTAAAAGAAAATAAGTAGGTACGTTTTTCAAACTGAAGACTAAAGTACAACATCCTCAAGCAAGCAAGCAAGCAAGTAAAATAGAAAAAATTGTTACTCAATTTATTAATTACTCAAAACGAAACACATTAATGCATTATTCCAAGAGCTCTAAAATGTTCTTGGATAGCAAGAAGAGGATGCATGAATATATGGAAAAATATAAAAAATCTGTGAAAAAGAAAATGTGTGAATTAATGGAATTGGATATTTACCTATTGACCACTTAAAACAACAATATAATGTTTTGTGGGTTATAAACATATATAGTAAAATACATGAACACCATAGTTCAAAAACCAGGAAGAGAATAAATGGAGTTGAAATGTACTGTGGTCACTGAATTATTCTGGTATCAGCAAGAATACTACTTTTTTCATTAGATTTTACTGAAGCAAGAATACATATTGTAATAACCAAGGTAACCACTAAAAAAAACCCGTCAAAATATACCAAATAAGCCAATAGAGAGAAGAAAATTAAAATTAATACAACAATTAATCCAAAAATGGAAGGAATAAAAGAAAAGGAAATACTGACAATATGATGTCAATAGAAAGAAAATACAGGCCGGGCGCAGTGGCTCACGCCTGTAATCCCAGCACTTTGGGAGGCCAAGGAGGGTGGATCACAGGGGGTCAGAAGTTCGAGACCAGCCTGATCAATGTGGTGAAAACCCATATCTACTAAAAATACAAATATTAGCTGGGTGTGGTGGTGTGTGCCTATATAGTCCCAGCTACTCAGGAGACCGAAGCAAGAGCTTCTTGAACCCTGGAGGTGGATGTTGCAGTGAGCCAAGATTGCACCACTACACTCCAGCCTGGGCAACATGAGTGAAACTCCATTAAAAAAAAAAAGAAAGAAAGAAAGAAAGAAAGAAAGAAAGTAAGAGAAAATACTAGCATGATAGATTTAAACTCAGTAATTATATATTATCAGAACGAATCCAAGAGGAATATTGTATGGTCTTTATATTGAGTGAAAGGAAGGGAAAGGATACACTATATGTGTCTGATAATTTTGTTGCCCTTCTGGCTTCCCTATCTACCTTTGCGTTTGACAGCTGACCTGTACAAACCCATATAAACTGTTTCTATCTTTTGTTAGATTGATACCTAGATATTTTATTTTTGTGTGATTGTAACTGCAGTGTGTTTTTAAATTCAGTTCCCACGTGCTCATTGCTAGTAGTATATAGAAATGCAATACTCCATTTAGTTGGATGTAATTTTTAGAAATAAAGTTTAGAGTGTTTTTTCTTCAATAAGTCTATTTATCTCATTTACATTTATTGTAATACTAAAAATATCTGGCTATAATTTGTAAACTTATTTCATATTTTAATATCTTCCTATTTTGCTTATTTTTTACCTGACATATTGTCTTTCTTTGTACTATTGTTTTCCTCCAGTCATTTTGCAAGTGTAATATCTCAGCATTTAAATATAATAGATATCTGTTAACATTTATATGGCTGTAATTTTCGATGTAAGAAATAAAATTGCAGTTGTTTTCTAAAAATTATTAATAGACTTTCATATTAATACTTCCTAATATCTACTGCCTGCAGATATGTGATTTCCCTTCATTGCTTTAGTGTGAAATTGATAGTGATATTATGCATGTAAATTTAAAATTTTTTTAAAAGCATGCATATGGTCATATTGAGTTGGTTTGAAGAGTAAATGAGTTAATCTTCATCAAATGCTTTCAATCACAATTTGATCACAGCAGATCCTCAAAAGAGGTTGATGATAATTTTATTTATTTATTTATTTATTTATTTATTTATTTATTTATTTATTTTGAGACGGAGTCTCACTCTGTCTCCCAGGCTGGAGTGCAGTGGCGTGATCTAGGCTCACTACAACCTCCGCCTCCCAGGTTCACGCCATTCTCCTGCCTCAGCCTCCTGAGTAGCTTGGGACTACAGGCACCCGCCACCACACCCGACTAATTTTTTGTATTTTTAGTAGAGGCAGGGTTTCACCATGTTAGCCAGGACGGTCTCGATCTCCTGACCTCATGACCTGCCCACCTCATCCTCCCAAAGTGCTGGGATTACAGGCGTCAGCAACGGAGCCCAGCCAACAAGAATTATTATTAAACTTACATAGAAATTTCTCACAGTGTTCACCACCAATAATTTAATATAATAATGCCACTGAAAATCAACTAATCAACTCACAAAGAAACGTTAAGAACAACAATAGTCTTCCAATTTATACCTCGTGTAGCTAGAGTATAACTTCAGATTAAATGGTCAGAGTGAGTCTAGGCTTAGCACACATGTGAAGCCCTAGAATATCTGAATTAATGTTATTTTTACTGGACTGCTTCTGTTTTTTATATATATAATACATATTTATGAGGTACATGGGTATTCTGTTACATGCATAGAATATGTACGGATTAAGTCAGGGTATTTTGGGTATGACGTTATGTTATTTTAAATCAGGCTATGAGCTATGTCGTTGCTCATATGTAGTTGCTTATATAATTTAGGGGTCAAAATTATTTTCCTTGTAATTCTGCAGATCTTATTCTGTATCTTGTCATGCAATAATGTAGAAAATCTTTAAGCCAAACTGTGCCCCCACCCCCACACAATTTTAGAGATTTGATAATTATCTCAAAGTCTTTAATTAGTAGAGGTAAAGAAAAGGTATCTCTTTTGGTTTGGTAATACAGGCTTTTACTGGAGACAGTAAAATTTCATAATATGGACTGAATATATTGTCGTCTGTCACTTAATTAGGGAATGAGATTTGTATCATATGAACTGCTATTAGTAAAACTGCAATTGAAATCAGTAATTAATACTCCCATCTGGAACTAGCCCCAATTAGCATGGAACAAAAGCTGCAGCATGCTGGACAGCTGCTAGGTTTGAGTGGATTTGTGCTGTGTCCTAATAAAGGGTGCAACATTTTTAAAGAAAATATTAAAAAGCACCGTTTTGGTGATCGGGTAGTGAGGAGAATCGAGGAGGTGCAACGTGAGCTAAGCCTTGCTGTGTGGAAAGACAGAGCTTCTGCAGTAATGCCAAGGTTATTAGCTCCAAATCATTTTTAGTAGAAATTCTTGCAGTGCAAAATAACTTTGTGAATCTTAAATTTGCTAGAATTAACCCCAATTTTACCAATGAAACCATCATTTTTACAGAACAATTTTTTTGGTTGAAAACTTCTTTATAAAACATAATCTTCATAATTTAATGGAGTGTTTGTGTGTGTGTCCACACATTCTTCTTCTTCGTTTATTTTGCCTTGGGGAGAGGCCAACTTTCCTATGAATGCAGTCTCCACCATTCAGAAGGAGGTCTGTTTTTTAGGGTTTTTTGCTTTATAGAGTCAGGCTGTTTTCCAGTTCAAGAAAGTTTTCTTTCATTATGTACGTTTTATTTCTAAAATTCCTTCTTTGCTTCATTCTAGTAAAAGAAAAAAGTTATGACTGTCATTATTCACATCACACTGATATGAGCTTCTGCAGTAGGGATTAATCTCCTTTCAGTTTCTATTGTCATTTTGATTTATGCTATATCGTTTTTTCCTCATTCTTTTCTTAACACAATCAACTTTCTTTTCATCTCTGCCTGTTTCTTGTAGCTACCTTATCCTTTCCTATTTAAAAAAGCCCACAATACCTTTCTTACTTCTGAGAGTGTAAAGAGATGTGGTCAAAATGTTCTCAGGGTAAACACGGAGCAACAGATTTGGTGTATTTCATGATGCTGTTTTTGGTGTATTATCTCGTAATACTTTATACTTAATAGTTTTGGAATTCTCTTTATTATGGCTGTCTTCTCTCATTCTTGAATTGAGAAAAGTTTAACAAGCATTGACGTTTGTCTCAAAATGATACTGGTGAATTCTTATTTCTCATATTTCCTTAGATGCTGTTAAAACTTTCTTAGATTTTATGCTTTATTCTGGTTTACATAAAGGTACACATTTCACAAAGGATATGGTTTGAAAAGAAGTATGGGCTTAGTTTCTTTCTGGAGAATTTTTTTGTCTCTGTCTATATATTAATATATATATGTATATGGTATATGTGTCTTAATAAATATATATATTCTTTATTGAGAATATTAATAAATAGGAGAAAGTAGTCACAGAAATAATGGCTGTGCACTTCCAAACTTTGGTGATAAACATTAATCCACACATCCAAGAAGCTTGCTAGTCTCCAAGTGGGATAAGCACAAAGATACCCCACTCAGAGGCAGATCTTGGAACGTGTTCTGACCTCAGGAAAGCCCTGCTCAGCCCCTTACCGTGTTCTCCTTGCGAATTAGCTGGCCTGAAGGTGACACTGCTGCTGTCACAGAGTTCTCTGTGCCCTCCTAATTGCTCGCCACCACCATCTCCATTGTGATGGGGAATGCTGCCCGGCCTGAATGTTCCAACTGTCTGTTCTAAATACAGTCAGCTCTCCCAGAGAGTTCTGGAGCCTCGGTTCTTACTGCCTGCCTCTCCCTGGGCAAAATCTGAACCACTGACTTGGATCTGGGATGGGGTGAAGACAAGGGGGACTGTCTCTCAGGGGTGCCCTGCCTCAAAAGCTGGGTGCCTGGTGTCAAAGCCATCTCTGGTCTTCTGGGTTTGCTGCTATCAGTGTGAAACCCACCAGCAAGCTGGGTCAGGGCCACCTGCCTAGGAAGCTCAGCCCTCAGCCTGGGAGGAGCTTCTGCCCTACAAAGCGGGGCTGGCTGAGGGAAAGAGCTGCATCCTGCGATGGAAGTCGCCTGGGACTTAGCTCAGGGACATCCAGCCAGGGGGAGTAAGGAAGCTGGTGCCCTGCTCCTCCCAGAAAATCACCAGGACCCGAAAGACCATGAGGAGAGGGAGCCTCCTCCTGACCCTGCGGCCGCCCAGAGTGGAGCTGTGTCCTGCTGAGCAGGGCTGGGAGGGCCACACGCCCTTCTTAGCTCTACAGAGACCTGGTAGACTTTCTTGAGGAGACACTTTTCAGTTGCTATATACCTGTAGGATGTTTCCAAAGACTTTAAAGCACACTTTTTAAAAATTCCTTTTACGAGTCATGGTTTGTTTCTCTGGGAAGTGGGTTCACTGCCCTCAAATCACTTTTCCTGATATGACCGCTGTTGATTGTTAGGAAGAGTGGAGGGCTGTGCATTTTTATTACGATTTTCAGAGAAGTTCCCAGATACTATTTTTTTAAATCAACCCTCCTTTTAAGTCTTGGAAACTTTCTAGATATAGAAGATACTAGAGGAAGTTTGAATGTGAAGAATCACATGGTTATGGCTCTGTGGGCAGGGGGTTGTTTTCTTATTTTCGTAATTGCTTTTTTTTTTTTTTTTTTTTTTTTTTGAGATGGAGTCTCGCTCTGTCGCCCACGCTGGAGTGCAGTGGCGCGATCTCGGTTCACTGAAAGCTCCACCTCCCGGGTTCATGCCATTCTCCTGCCTCAGCTTCCTGAGTAGCTGGGACTACAGGCACCCGCCACCATGCCCGGCTAATTTTTTTGTATTTTTAGTAGAGACGGGGTTTCTCCATGTTAGCCAGGATGGTCTCGATCTCCTGACCTCTTGATGCGCCCACCTCAGCCTCCCAAAGCCCTGGGATTACAGATATGAGCCGCTGCACCTGGCCATAATTACTTCTTTAAATAAAATTGGATTCTAAATGAAAATTGAAAGCCGTGGGCTGTGTCTTTCCCTTTCAGTCCTCAGGCTGATTTCCTCACCCCCGGGAGCAATCCCTTAAATGGTGATTGTTTTCATCATTGTTACACAACCGTGATTGTTTAGTCAGCTGTGACTAGAAGATCAATGTATCATTTTTTCTCTGTCTTACTTTCTCTTTCCCAAATGTTTTTGTTATTTTCTTATTTTTAGTTTTATCTTTGTTACCTCTTTAATCATAAATGCTCTTTCATAATCAACTTTTTAATTTCCCTCTCTATGCTTCGTGTTAGACTTAATCACATCATTGCTTTTGTTACCCAAAATGGCGGCATACAGGCAAGTTCCAACCATTCAATGTATGTGTATGATGATTCTAAACACGAAAATTGAATAAGCAATATTAACAGTATTATAGTTATCTGAATGTTATTTGTCACATACGTAACAAATTCTCGTGACACTAAAATGAAAGAAAATTTCTTGTCAAAGTTAAAAATATTTGTGTTCATTACACTCTTTTATTGGATCCAATTGCCCACGTTTAATCTCTCACTTTTGTGCCATGTTTTTATTTTATAGAAGTGGTTTTCACCTGCACTTGTAACTGGCGTTTGAGTATTGTTGGCACACTCACCGGAAGAATGTTCCCCTCCCCTGCCCCAAACCTCACATCTTCATCCTGATTAGATTGAGTTTCAGTTCTGCCAAGGACCACCCTGAATTTATTTTTTCTTGAAAGATGGTTAGAAAGACACTTTTTCTTTGTCTGAAACTGTGTTTATTATTGAGCAATAATTTGGTTTGATATGGGATTTGATCTTAAAAAGTACCTTCCTTTGAAATTGATATGACACTCCATTGCCTTTAAGAACGAAAGTGGTCAAGGCTGGTCTACTTCTGAGGCTTTTGAAGGGAACCCGCTCTTCATTTCTTCCTGGGCAGCTCTTGAGAGCATCCTTCTATCACTGCGTTCCATGGTAGCTCATCCATTCTGGTTGTGTTGCTCCGTGTACCCTTCTGCATGAAAAGTCATCCTTCTTCAGCTTGTAACAGTGCAGCTTTTATTTGAAATAAAAGTTTATCCTCCGTGGCATGGTCTCCACTCTTTCTTTCTGCCCCTCCTATAAAGTGTACATTACCAGTCTTGAATCATTGGCTTTGCCTGAATGAATTGTCTTGCTCACCTGTTTTCTAGATTTGTTGTTGTATTCTAATTATCTGAGTGTTTTTAGATTTGTACTATAAATATCCTATTGGTTTTTTTACATTGTAATAATTATATTTCAAATGACTTGTTTTGTTTTGTTTTTTTGAGATGGAGCTTCGCTCTGTCACCCAGGCTGGAGTGCAGTGTCGTGATCTTGGCTCACTGCAACCTCCGCCCCCCAGGTTCAAGCGATTCTACTGCTTCAGCCTCCTGATTAGCTGGGACTACAAGCGTGTGCCACCACGCCTGGCTAATTTATGATTATACTTCAAATGACAAGACTAATTTTTAAAATCTCTGCATAGTTCCTTTATTAGAACAGCCTATTCTTGTATTGTAATTGGCTTCCCTCAAGTTTTCTATAAGGTGTTTAATGAAAATTAAATGTGCTAATTTTGTATATTTTGTGCTCTTCAGTTCTCCACTGTCTGTACTGATGGCCAGCAGCTTCTGTTGTGATTGTTCCTATTCATGACTTTCTTTCATAGTGCTTCACATGTATGTTCATTGATGTGTATTTGTACGTCAAAATCACATTTTTTTGGTTAATATAAAATGGTGATGTATTTATTTTCCTTTTCTACCCACAGTCTGGTAAATCAGACGTTTATAATCTATAGGGCAGTGTTGGGGAAGCGCTTTGCAGATGGGCTGGGAAGTGAATAGCTAAGCTTCAGTTCAACGTGGCTGCACAGTGGGCTGTTGAATTGGTTGAGACTCCCTCAGGTGCCACACTCAGCTGCATTCCCCCCTGGAAACATCGCCCAGCACAGCAGATCAACTGGAAGATTTGGGATATCATTTGTCTTTGTGCAGGAACTTGGGCTTGAACTTGAGGAAAGAAATTGCATGAGGACCTTACAGGTCATCTGCAAATAGCCATTAATTAATTAATTAATTAACCACCTTGACTCCATACCCACATCTGCCCTCTCTAAATGCCAAACAATAAATTGGGAGCTTTGCCAGGATATCTTCCTCTCACTTTGAATTTGTGTTTGAGACGAGTCCTTTCTTCTGTGATGTATCTATTAGATAAACCTTATCTATTTTCTATCTTATACAAATTTGCCAAAATAGCTCATCTACCAGAGCCCATATTCCTACTCTTAAAACCACAATCATTGCATCCCTTTGGTGTTCTTTATGTTTATTCCAGTCAAATTTGGGAAACAATAGAATTAAATACATATGGTAAATTGTTGTTTTTGACCTGTTGTGTGTTTACTGCCTAAGGCCAGTAGGGACTGTGAAAACAAACAAACAAACAAACAAACAAACAAAACTTATCATGGCAACAACAATCCAATCCTGTATTCTGAACTTGGGTTTCCTGTATCAGGTATCCTATATCCTGAATCTTAATGAATGTTTTCTGTTTATGTTGTCCTTGCTCACATTTCAAAGCTAAGCCTAACCTTGGTCAGTGTGTCCATCGCCTAATATTTTCCCTTTATTTCACTGACAAAGACAATTTAGTAAGACTTATGTCACTAAGCAAATTTCCATTTGTAGACACTGAATTGTTTTTTTTTTTTGTCTTTTTTTAATATACTTTAAGTTTTAGGGTACATGTGCACATTGTGCAGGTTAGTTACATATGTATACATGTGCCATGCTGGTGTGCTGCACCCACTAACTCATCATCTAGCATTAGGTATATCTCCCATTGCTATCCCTCCCCCCTCCCTCCACCCCACAACAGTCCCCAGAGTGTGATATTCCCCTTCCTGACACTGAATTGTTATACAGAAATAACTTATCAAGGAAGATATATGCAGCTTGCATAAAATGTGATTTTTAAAAAGTGTATGATTTTTTGTTTGTTTGTTTTGTTTTGCAGAGACAGGGTCCTGCTATGTTGCCCAGGCTGGTCTCAACCTCTTGGCCTTAAGTAATCCTTCCTGGTTGACTTCTCAAAGTTCTGGGATTATAGGCGTCAGCCACCATGCCTAGTATTGGGTGTCTTTAATTTCAGAGGGTTAGAATTATTCAAATCATAATGATCATACATACCATGGAGATACCCAAACTTTCACAGTTCCTAACCTCTTATCTTCACAGCCTCTCTGGCAATACCCTGAGATAGATAGAAACTGTACCTCTTTCTGTTGTATAAAAGTGGGCACCACCAGCTCTGGGAGTTACATTCCTGCAACTGAGCAGAATCGCCCATCCAGCTCCATTGAGCAGAATCGCCCATCCAGCTCCATTGAGCAGAATCGCCCATCCAGCTCCATTGAGCAGAATTGCCCATCCAGCTCCATTGAGCAGAATTGCCCATCCAGCTCCATTGAGCAGAACCGCCCATCCAGCTCCATCCTGCCACCTGGACACAGTGCAACCTGAGTGTGATATCGCAAACTAACAGCTCTGCACTGGGGCAGTAGGGTCAGCAGTGTGAATTTTATTTAAACTCACAAGATGTAAATATCATACCACGTTCAGAATGGAGCTTTTTGGATGCCTATTCTTCTGTCTCATTTCATAAATTCCTGAAGACAGTGAAAGGCAATGCAGATGGGCTTAATTATTATCTTCTTCTGCCTGAGCATGCTGTGAGAAAAGATTAACGGGAGGGAGAGAAAGAAGAGATAAAATATCCATGACACAAATTAGTATTTAGCATACATTTTGAAATCATGCTGTTTCTGCCAGCTTCATGCGTCTTGCCTCATGCTTCTCAACATACAGCAGACCACGACTCCTAATTTCTAGCTTGATCATATTACTATCTATGTTTCAAGCACATTTTCTCCTAGGTTTCTGATATCTCCAAATGTCTTGCACTATATAATTCTGCAGAGAAAGTATGAAAGTTGATCAGGATAAAACATAGAGAATCCTGTTTTAAAGGAGGGCAAACAGACCCTTGGTACCATTCTCGCCATTGTTCTTGAAGCTTGAGAAATTCTAGGTTGTGTGCTGAGCAGTTACAGGAGCTGTGGTATTAACGAACTGCCACATTAAATAAAAATAGGTTCGTACATTATGCACAATGAGTTGCCATGTTTAGCGTCTATTTCAATACTCATGGAAATAAGTTGAAGCACCTTGTTTAGTGCTATAATTTAAGAACTACTCTATGTAATGCAAACCAAAGATGAAATATGTTCATTTCAGCAGCAGCAAGCATATCTGAATGGAACCATCCTCTCGTTAGTAAGTGACTTCCAGGCAGCAGCTAAGGTGCAGTGTGATGAGGAGCAGTAGCAAAGCCCATCCCTGCACCAGCCCCCACCCTGCACCCCCAATTCCTGCCGCTGAACTTCTTCCTTGAAATTACCCAAGGGGAACGTTTTCCTCTGTGCCCTGCCGAAATTGTGCCCAGTCCTGTGCATCTCCCTAGTGGGTCCAGGACTCAGGACTCTGAACGGGCTGACAAGGGCACCTGGCCTCGGGCCTTGAAGGCAACCCCAGGAGTTCGAGTTTAGAACTCGGGAAGCAGGAACAGCTAAGGGCTACTTTGGAGGGGGCTTGTGTGTCTATGACCCGGCCTGAAGAAACAATGATCAGTGAAAACGTTCTTGGCTCATGACAATCCGTGCTTCCGGCTTTGTCAAGGATGTTCAAATGGAGAAGATGAATCATTGGAAAAATTGTGAAGAGGAAGAAATGAGTGTTCCTTTTGCACCTTCTTTATTGCTTCTGTCCTCCACCAAATATCCCCCAAAACCCTCCACTCAGGGCTCCTTGCACTAATGAGAGAGAACACAGTCTGCGGAAAACATTGTGCAGGGAAAACCCTCGGCATCCAGTATGAGGGACAGACTTCTAGGATGTCCAGCTCCATGTGCCAGGCCCCAGGGCACCCCAGCAATGACATAGGACTTCCACCTTCCCAGGTGCCCGGAGCTTTGGAGATGGTGTTGTCAAGAGCAGTGAGACGCATAGCACAGTCTCCACTGCCCCCATTGTCCCGGAATGAAAACGACACCCGCAACAGTCTGAGCAGCAGGGACACCCTGATCTTCCCGGGACTCGGCTTGCTTTGCAGCCTGGGCCACTGTCTTCTGTACCGCAGTCACTGCATAGCCAGCCCCGCAGGTGCCCCCACTGTATTTCCTAGAGAGAGCTGACTTCAGTCACTTGCCATATCAAGGAGAAAATGGTGAACATAGTGGCCGTCTATTTCATCAAAAGAGCAGGCCTACAGGTTCGTTTATTACTCATCCAACCCAAAGAAGAATCCTCTCTTCCTGGTTATGATCGCAGGCCAACCTCTGCCCAAGTGCCCCTCAAGTGAGGGACACACACAGTTGAATGGGCCCGCACCTGCTCATGGCACAGACTCAGCTGCTCTGTCTCTGTTGTGAGTCCCGGCACATGGGAAAAGCCAGTGGATGTTTAAGTCAATGAAGATCTAGAGAGAGAGAGATCAAACGATTTTGTCTCCTCCACTGACATGAACCATAAAGAAGAACCTTGAATGCATATTTTCCATTGCATAAAAAGGATTGGTACCGTTAAAACTATAAGAAGCTACTTTGAAAAAATGGAGAACTCTGAAACATGAATAACTGGAAACAAAGACGACAGTAACTATATCAAGTCTCTGAATACTGTGACTCACACAGGACCCTAGTGAGACTTTATGCGGTGACTCAGGAGTTTGTGCTGGGAAACTAGTCTATGACATAGAGAAAATTTTTTAATAAAATGAATATTATGAGAGAAAACCTACGAGCCATGAAAGAAAATAGAACCAGCACTTGTCAACTCTCCATAGGAAGTCCAGATGAGAAAGGAATAATAAAGAGGGAGTGATCAAAGACGTCACAAAAGAACATTCTCCTGAAATAAAAATACACTCAGTTTTCCATCTCGAAAGGGATCACTGAGTCTAGGGGAGATTCAAAAAGTAAAAAGATACACACGTGCTAGTAAAGATCTTAAGTTAAAAAATGAAGAATTCAATAAGTTTCCAAATAGAGAAAATAAATTGTCTGCCAGGAAATGACCACATTAGCATCAGACACACTAACTTTGATAACAACAACATCAACCCCACAGTCTTGTGAAGGTTGAATCAGTGTAAAGATTTTAGTTCAATGACTTGTAAACATAAGGTCCTATATACATTTTGTGTTTATTATTATTGAACATAGTTATTGCTACGGGGAGTAAACTCATTTTTGTACCACTATGAGATTGCAGAATTCTACTCTTAGAATTTTAGAATAGGTTAAAGTGTTCTTCATAGTTTTCACAGGACAAAGGACATTTTCAAACAAGTGTGGAATAAGAAACACTTTCAGAAGAGTAGATACTTGTGAAATAAGCGTCTGAAATCTGTCAAATTAAAATCTGAATCGGGAATATAAGTGGAAGAGTGGGGCTAAAGTGACAGGATAAAGAATGTCCATGCGAATGATAAGAGTATCTTCTGGTGCCAGATTTAGAAAAGATTGAAAATGATAATTTAAATCTAAAGAAAGTATTAAGAATGTAGTCCTACATTTTGTAACAAATATTTTATTACAAATTAGCAATGACTTAGAGCTAAAAGTCTGCATAAGTTTAATAGAGTCATGGGTATAGGAGAATAAAAGCTAAAATTTTGTTGAAAGTCTCGTGATGGGTTAGGATGCTGGTCTGAATTATTACATACTTCTTGAATCATGTTTAATTATGTTTTTCTCATAAATGAAAACAGCCAGTAGAAACACTGAAAAAGTAGAAAACATTTATGGAGAAATTTTACAACTCAGAGCAAGGGAAAGAATAATGAAAACACAAAAGAAATGATTAAAAGAAAAATATAGAACACGTTGTGAACAAGACTTAATCTAAAAATGATATGAGTGAAAAATTTGAAAATAAAGGAATAGGAAGATTTATAACATAAGAAAGCATATTATATAAGGATGTGATTATTTCATAATGTGTGTTTCAAAGGCAAAAATGTAAAATTTATAAATATGTTTTTATATCACTAGTTTTCGATACAAAATAAAATGCATTTTATTTCTATATTATTGAAGTCCAATTGAAGCCATTATACTATACATAGTTAAACTGTGTAATTTAATCAGCATCAGATATTTCTATAAAATCAACAACACAGCTGAGATTACAAAGTCTATTATTTATTTATTTATTTAGTACAGACAGGGTCTTGCTGTGTTGCCCAGGCTGGTCTGAAACTCCTGGCCTCGAGCAGTCCTCCTGCCTTGGCCTCCCAAAGTGCTGGGATTACATGCATGAGCCACCATGCCCATACTATTTTATTTTAACATGTAAACTGTTCACACATGTAACTTATTTACATATTTTAATATGTAAATATGCTTAATACTTTAGCCATAAATTTTCTCTGACAAGCTATATATTCTGTCTTCATGTTTCTTAAGCATCATGGGTGTATTAGTTTTCTAGGGTTGCTGTATGAGCCTACCATAAGCCTTCAACAACAGAAATGTGTGTCCTCACAGCTCTGGAGGCTGGACGTCCAGGGTCGAGGTTCGGGCACAGTTGGTTCCTCCTGAGGCCTCTCTCCATGGCTTACGCATGGCCCCCTTCCTTCTGTGTCTTCATGAGGTCTTTCCTCTGTGTGTGTCTGTGTCCTAATCTCATTTTATTGCAAGAATACAAGTCCTATTGGATTAGGGCCCACCCATATGACCTCATTTTAACATAATTATTTTTTTAAATAAAGACCCTACCTCCAAATACAGGCCCATTATGAAGTACAGGGGTTAAGACTTCAAGATGAATTTTTGTAGTTCACAGTTCAGTCCATAATCAGAGTTACTCCAGGTCCCCAAATTCATCTGGTGATCATCCATTTCCACCAGCTGTCAGTCAGCATACCTCATTCATTAACAATTAACTACCGCTAGTACCTAATCACTCACTCATTTCTACCATGTGCTTACTGCTTCAGAAAACGTACTGTTTCACCAAAGGCTATTGAATGTTTGTGAACAACGAAAACACAACAGAGAGAGGTCTATAGTTAGAGGGAACATCTGGAGTCCTGAACACCCTGACTGCAAAGTCAAAGCTGCTTTGTTGCAAAGGCAGGAGGGGGAGGAGGTGGACACGGCTCACCTGGGACACTGTGGCATTTCTTGGTGATTGATTACCTGAAGTCAGAGTCCAAAGTCTCAAGCTCTTTGAAGCTCACAAGTAAAACATGACCTTTAATATCAGCTGTTCCCAGCCCAGAGGGACAGAGTCACAAAGCCCAACTCCTACACTTGTGAGACAACATGGATGTTTATTGTTTATGCTAGTGAGGGCTTGTGGCTCATGACCTTAGTAAAGGGATACAGAGGTTGGGTCTAAAGAACCTAGATCTGACATAACAAGACCCTTTTCTGTGTAGCACTGGCCTTTGGACTGGAGATGGGGATGTGAGAAAATTGTGCACAAATCATTGAAAATTGTTGAGGAAAAATACTGAGAAAATTGTCCCTGGAGGCCAAAAAAATGTGAACCACGTGAGGTGACTGAGAAATGATCACAATTCTCTCACCTGCAAAATACCTGATGAACTTTCAGATGTGACCAACGGGATCTCCAGCCAAAATATTGAAAGTGCCAGCTACCTGATCTCGGCTGTTTATTGGAAGCTTTCAAAAGTAAAAAAGATGAGTGAAATAAAACATTGCCCAGTCTGTACAAGAATTTAGAAGGGATAGAGAGAGCCTGGTCTTGTGGGAATGGAAAATAAAGCCATTTCTGATCTTTCATCTCTTTCCAGCCAGCAAAAGACTCTCAAAATAATCTATAGCCTGGGGGCACGGACAAAATCAGTGGTGTGGCAGCATGACCCTTGGTGAGGGGCTCTGTCAGGTTTGAGGCTGTGCCTAATAGACACTTTCAGCTACACACAAAAAATCTTCAAACAGAAGTCCCCAGAAGCCTGACATAGCCAAAGGAGCACAGATAAGACTAGAGAGAGAAGTCTGTCTAGAAATTAATTATGAGTTTGTCTTTTTTCAGGTGGATTGAAATGGAATCAAATACAAAGAAGTCTGCAGGATTTTCATGGGAGTTGCACAGGCTCTAGGGACAACAGCATGGACTAAAAGGCACTGAAATTACCCCAAACACAAAGAGATCTGCAGGCTTCCAGATTATCTTGGGGTAGGGGCAGACTGGGAAATCTACCCAGCCACTGAAATGGCTCCTTTCTTCAGAAATCCAGATGCCACATAAGGTGATGGAGAAGAAAGGACATCTCAGAGTGTGAACCCAGGAGCCATGCAGACCAGTGGACTGAGGAATGACTCTGGGGGTCAATGAGGCCCAAATCAAAGTGCAATGCTCTCTCCTGGAGGTGCCAGCATTTGCCCTGTGGATTTCAGAATTACTAAAGACCAGTGACTGCTCTGTGCTTCTGTGCTCCATCCTTGCAAGTGTTTCTTTCTGTGGAGGTCCTTATTGTGGTTATTCTCTCTCACCATTGTACGTTCAAGGTGACTACAACACAGAGATCACCCACTGCTAAGATCAGCTTGTTCTGTCCCCCAGAGAGGTGGCTGATGGTGATGGTAGGATCTTGAAGCTTCATCATGATATGGTAATTAAATGGGACTTTTGAAGGTCTTGGAAGCATATGATTACAACACAGAAACTGAATAGTTAAAGCCAGAGGTGGGTGACAGTGGATCAATCGCATTGACAGCCATAATCGATGAACCCTTTTCAATGGGAGCATCTCCTCCAGTCCCAAGGGGGATTCTATTTTCTCACCTGTGAATCAGGCTTGAACTTGCTTTGACAGCAGAATGGTTGAGTGTCTCTGTGTCACTTCCCCGCCTGGCCCCTGGAGGTCGTTCTCTTCTGCTTGCTGTCTTGCAGGTTTCATTTGCTGTCTTGTGGGCCTTGCTTCTGCTGATAACCCTTCCTTCTGGTTAGTTGGCCGCAGGAGGAGAGACCACAGGCAGCCCAGCTGGATCAGCTCAGAGCAGGTCATCCTAGAACACTCATGCAGATGACAGGCAGCTGGACAAGGGTGTATGCCTGAGCCTGGCCTGGGGAACAGAGCAAAATAGCTGATGCAGAGACCTAAATATTCATAGAACAAAAAGTGAAAATTATTTGAATGCTGCATTAGTCAATTCATAACAGGAAAATTGCAAGTGCATTATAATTTTTCTATTTTGAAACACAGGAACTTTTTGCGGGGATTTACAAGTGGTTTCATAAGCCATCGTGTGTGTGTGTGTGTGTGTGGATGTGTAGCACAATGAGTAAATAACATCAGTTTTTATGTATTTGTAAATGTTAGTTAATTAGTGAATTAAACCTTTTTAAAACCCACCCGTACAATTTGTATGTAGCAAATAAAAGGAGAGAAATATAAAACACAATTTATAAATTTATATACAAAGTATAATTTGAGCAAGTTGTGTAAAGATTATGAAATATGAAGATTTTGTTCTTCATAGTTATGAAATTAATGATTTCATACTATCTTTAGAGTAATTTAAGAATGTGTAAAAAATGGCTCCATTATGGAATTTTGTATATTTATTTAATCTATTTCTTGTCCCAATGTGAAATTTTACATTCTAAAATGTGTGTTAAGTTGGTGTCATTATGACAATAACATTTTCTTATTTTTAGTTTTAAATTTGAGTCATGAAACAAACAACTATTTATATTAAAAAGTTCAATTCAAGTTCTGCCACATGGAATCGTTATTTTAATAAATGGAGTATTGCTATTACTATTATAAATAACATTAGTATCAGTATTCTGCTAACACTACCCTTCATTACCTGAGCAAGAAAACAACTTTATTGCATCCACTAGAAATTCTTCCTATGTACAATAGAAAGCACCATATATTTAAATTTCATTTTTTCAGAGAGAATGTTCTTAATGTTGTGTTTAAGTTCAGAAGTTTCAGGATAACATAGTAGCCAGGTTTTTATTTTTTTTCATTTACCTCATGATTTTCTTTGAGTAAGTTATGGAAAATCCACAAGGCTTATTTTTATTTGGTAAATCGAAATAATAATAATAATATCTATAAAATATGATCATTGTGAGGAATAAGTGGTATGTATAAACAGGATAGAATATAGTAGTTTATTTGCTTCCCAGAATGGAGTTGAAATAAAGGTACAAAACAGACGTTTTCTCCAAAACTCACTAATGAAATTAAGACTGGTCCAAACCAAAGAAAAAATAAAAGCCCATGTAGTCCCTAGACAGTAAAAATAATCTGAGAATTTATGTAGATGGACCCAAATCTGAGAAGAAGACTCAAGCGTCCTGCCTTCCTCTCTCCGGATGAGTTGAGTTGTAGGGGAAACAGTGACCGAGGGAGATGGACCCAGAGGGTGAGGACCCGTGGGAGTGGCGCTCTGTGGCTGAACTGAAGAGTCCACGGCTTCCGACTAAACCGGACAAATGGCTCAAGCCAAGGGCAACCCACTTCAATCCCTTGGGAACTTTAGACAGCGTTGCCTACGTGAAATGAGTCCTGAAGCAGGAGGGTGAAGAACGGTCTGAACAGAGCTGCCCAAGCTTGGAAATATGAAAATTGTCTTTTGACAATTACATAAGCGCACTGTAAGAAAAGAATCAAAGACAGTCAAAGAAAAAAATGAAAGCAGGCAAAATAAAATTAATTCATTACATAAAATAGAAAAAATAAAACAAGAATTTGAATGAAATCCACAAGGACAGTTCATGGTAGATAAAAATGTAAGCGTAGTATGGAGTTAGGTAACGAAGAGATTTTTTAAATGACATGATGAAACAACGTAGAGATTCACATGCACGACCTAAAGATCACCATGGCAGATCTGATCAACACAATAGCAAAGAATGGGAGATGCTGCCAGCAAGGAGAAAGACAGACACCCTGGGCGCACGGGTGCCTGGCCGTGGAGGAATCCGTCCTGGGCGCGCAGGTGCCTGGGAGTGGAGGAATCCGCCCTGGGCGCGCAGGTGCCTGGGTGTGGAGGAATCTGCCCTGGGAGTTCAGGTGCCTGGATGTGGAGGAATGTGCTCTGGGCGAGCAGGTGTCTGGGTGTGGAGGACTCTGCTGTAAGCTCCAACCACATGCTGCAGTAGATGGATCAGACAAGGCTCGGCCCAGACAAACTCATCGCACAAGACGTCCTTCTCCGCTGGCTAAATTCAGGACCCTTTGGAAATTGCATGCGCTGCTTGGTACAGGTGGAACTGTGTCCCCCCCCACCCCAACGTGTATATGTTGAAGCTCTAACCTCTAGCATCTCAGAATGTGACTGCATTCAAAAACTGTGTGCAGAGCTAATGTCTTGAAAGAGGAAGTAAAGTAAAATGAGGCTGTCGAGGTGGCCTAATCCAAGGTGACTGGTGTCCTTATAAAAAACAGGAGATTAGGACACAGACAAATGCGGAAGGGTGACCCTGTGAGGATACAGGGACAAGATGCCATCTGGAAGCCAAGGAGAGACCCTGGGAGGAGCCAGTCCTGGCCACCCCTTGATCTTAGACTTCCAGCCTCCAGGACTGTGAGACAATATATTTCTGCTGTTTAAGCTGCTGAGACTGTCTTCTTCTTCTCCTTCTCCTCCTTCTTCTTCTTCTTCTTCTTCTTCTTCTTCTTCTTCTTCTTCTTCTTCTTCTTCTTCTTCTTCTTCTTCTTCTTCTTTCTTCTTCTTCTTCTCCTCCTCCTCCTCCTTCTTCTTCTTCTTCTTCTTCTTCTTCTTCTTCTTCTTCTTCTTCTTCTTTCTTCTTCTTTTTTTTTTTGGCTAACCTAGTAAATGATTGAATGGTCTAAGTTTCCGTTGAGCTGTGGTGTTGGCATGTGAGAGGGCGGGTTGGTTTAGGTCCGACGTTTCCCAGCAGCAGTCCATGCCAGAAGACACGATCAGCCCCCATGTAATTCTGAGGAATAAACATGACTGTGCAGGGATATTGCATCCAGCTGGGTTTTCATCCAGGTTCAAAGTTTCAGCAAAGCAGGCAGCCCCTCTCAACCACAAAGAATCACAGGAAAAGGCACACTGATTCCATCAGAAGCTCCAACCCAATGACAAACCCCAGCCAATTAAACGCAGTGAAAAACTCAAGTTCAGATTAGAGAAACTGTGATAAAGAGATGAATACTGAGCACGTAAACATAAAGCTGTCCTGGATAATTAAGGGCATTTTGGTCACAGAAATAACAGAGATATCATACATGTCGGCAGTGGAAAAAAAATAATAGAACCAAGAATTCAGGAATTACAGAGAAGGGGAGAAAGATTTAGGGGTTCAATGTCCTGAATTTCCCTTACAACAATCACATATGTAGAGAAACCGATAACTACAATGTATATAATTCACACTTCTTCTTTTTTTAATTTTTAATTTTCTTTTTTTTTGAGTTGGGGTCTTGCTCTGTCACCCAGGCTGGAGTGCAGCGGCGTGATCTCGGCACATTACAGCCTCAACCTCTTGGGCTCAAGCCATTCTCTCATCTTGGCCTCCTAAGCAGCTTGGACTACAGGTGCACACCACAATATCAGGCTAATTTTTTAATTTTTTGTACAGACAAAATCTCCCTTTGTTGCCCAAGCTGGCCTCGAACTCCTGTGCTCAAGTAATCCGCCTGCCTTGGTCTTTCAAAGTTCTGGGATTACAGTTACCCACCAGCCTGGCCATAATCTTTATGTTTTTCCTTACACTTCCTTCTATCTTGAGATTGGTAACTTAGGAAATATCTTGTTAGAAAGAAACATTTCCTTAAAGTTCAATTATGCTTTCGGTTTAAGTTAATTTTTGTCATAATACAGAATTCGAGTAAGATTAAAATCAAATATTAAAATACCATGTAGACTCCAATTCCTTTTATTATTGAAGAATGGCTCTTCCTTTGTCTCTCACATCATTTATCTACCTGACTTTAAATTTTGATTTACACAAACTCAAGCACGCAAACACACACACACACACAGACACACACACACACAGTGATATTTTCTTGATTAATAATTACCTAATAAAAATTACTTAATACAAATTCTGGTGTTAAAATTGGGGATAATGTATCGTGTCTTGCTTGTGTTATTTGTCTTGCTTGAATATCTACAGTGGGTTTATGCCATTTAAAAAATAAAATAAAATTACTATTCTACTAAAAATTAGGTAGCAGTTGTTAAGTTACAGACATAAAGTTAGGTTGTTTCAGGATAAATTTTTCTCTCTCCTTGCATCATCTGTGTGCCATGGTCTTCCTTTTCTTCTCTTCTTCTATTTTATGTTGTTTGTTCTTCCTCCTGTGACAGCATCTGTGTGGGAGGATGGTGCCGCTATCGGGAGGTGCAGGAAATATGCGTGGTGAAATGAAGATGGCTGTGTTAGTGACCTGCACCCTTTCTAGCCTAATCATTCTACCATTTTCAAGAGGAGTTTCCAACTCTTTCTTTTCTTAAGTTCTGTTTCTATGGCAACATCTCCTCCTAGCTTGCCATCTATACACATTTATTATCCTATCACTGGCATTTACTTATTACCTCTTATTTTTTAACATGAGTCCATTACATCCTCTTATGTTCTGTCTTGCCTGCATTCTGGTTTCGGGGCTTGCAGAATTTGGCTCCCATACACACACCTGTAGCTCTGGCGTCAGTATTTATGCTTACAGGACACACACTCAACCTCCTTTCCATTCTTTTCCACTTTCTCCCCCAAGATCTTCATTAACAAAAAAATGCATTATATCCTTTCAATCTCACTCAAGTGAATCTAACTTGCTTCTAGCTCACTTTATTCTTAGTGGTTTTCGAAAGAGTACCTGTATTGACACATAACACCAGCACAACCTTCCTAGTCACTGTTACTAAGAAACAGAACTCTGGAAGTCACAGGTTCAGTTTTTGACTCTTAGAGAAATTATTTTCTGCTGAGCACTCTTCTCTTTTCTAGGACTCAAATTTTTCAAAATTGTTTTTCCTCTAAGAGTTTGAAAAAAAACAGCTCTTCATCTCTGACATTTTCCTCTTTCCCAGTGGAGGCATGGGATGCCATCAGTTTATTGCTAATTAACCTCCCACAGTCTGCATCTGAGTAAATGACTTAGTGAGACTCGTAGTCTTGAACATTTACAGGGTTAGATTGTCTTAAACCATAACCACATATTCTAAAGATAGTTAAGCGGTTTTGCACAGCCATTGCAGATTCAAATAAAAACAGTTTTTATACTCTTATCAGATAGTAAATGGAGGCTTTGAACATGAACGAGAACCTGGTTCTGAAAGACCTGGACAGGACACACAGTGGTGCTTGTGGGACATATAGGCTTGCAGAGGGCGTGGTGAGCACAGCAATGATGGGGCAGCTGTGGCCACAGAGCCTTCCAGAATAGGAGTGACAAAAATGAGGGTGATGCCAAAATCAGCTCCCCAAATAAATGGATTACAGAATCCAATCAATAGCAAGAAATATTTACAGGCGGTCCCTGAAATAATCTTTTAGGGCTAAGTAACTGGATGTTTTTTCTTTTCAGATTCAGATCTCACAATCACAGCTGGAGAAAACAGTAAAGGATGCACTCAGTAAACCTTGCCCTCAGGACAGACTTGGGTAAGGAGAGGGCATCTGCATCCAGGACACTGTCTATTCTATTACAAATGATTTCAGTTTTTCTATTTACATTCTAACTTTTATATTTTGGCTTTTAAAAGTGGTCTTCTTTGTAGCTTGAAAGGGAAGGAGGAAATGGAGAAGGAGAGAAGGAAGGGAGGGGAGAGGAATGGAGGAGAGCAGGGGAGGGAAGAGGAAGGGAGGAGGATAGGGGAAGGGAGAGCCCTCTGCAGTTGACTTAGAAACCAATGTTGGCATCTCTTACTTGTTTGGGCTGCTGACAACTTTACGTCTACTCTGCCACCTCTGAATTTGGGTGCAGCCATGTGACTTGCTTTGCCAATTAAATGTGAGCAAGCATAAGAGATGTTTTTTCCAAAGGGTCACTTTAAGTGCTAGGGAAGATCTTCCATATTTCTTTTTTTCTCCTGCTGGACAATGGAAAACATGCCTTGAGATGGTCCCCAGCCAGGGTCCCTAAGTGTCCTTAGTGAGCTAAACGTCTCCATCAATCCACATGGACAAGCACCAAAACAGGGAAATACACCTCTGTCATGAGTCCACTGAGACGTGGGGATTTTTGTCACTGTAGCTGACGTCCCTCTTCTTGACTAAGCCATCCCATTAGTTCCTTCAGGAACAGATGGTGCCTTTTGTTAATGTTTATGTCCCAAACCTAGGGATTTGATGATCCTCTTGCATTGAATGAATGTTCTGCACAAAATATGATAAAAGGAGACTTGGAATTCAACTCATCAAACATACAATTTCTGTCTCACAAATTCTCATCTTACATAGGACATGCACCATCTTGACAGACTTTCTCAGTCTTTGACAAGGATATTAACTGTGCCCTAAAGACATTTTTTCCCATTCTGAAAATGTTGAAATGGGCAAGTGTGTTAGGATAGGAGACTGTGGAGCCCTCCCAAGGTGCTTGTGTTCTATGGTCTGTTCCTTTGATGACAATTTCCTTAGGTGTACCAGTGCATTGCTGAAGCAATGAAATTTGGAGTGTTTTCATTCTATGTTCCCAGGAGAATATTTATGGCGGGGTGAATTAGTCTGTTTTCACATTGCTATAAAGAACTACCTGAGACTTGGTAATTTATGAAGAAATGAGGTTTAATTGACTCACAGTTCCACAGACCATACAGAAGCCATGGCAGGAAAGGCCTCAGGAAACTTACGATCATGGCGGACTGCAAAAGGGAAACAAACACATCTTCACATGGCCAGCAGGAGAGAGAGAGCAAAGGGGAACGTGACACATATTTTAAACAACCAGATCTCATGACAAATTGTGAGAAAGAGATAGCACTAGGAGGATGGTGCTAAACCATTAGAAACCACCCCTGTGAGCCAATCACCTCCCACCAATTCCCACCTCTAACACTGGGGATTACAATTCAACATGAGATTTGGATGGAGACACAGATCCAAACCATATCACAGGGCATAGGGTTTCCTGTTCTAAGACTGAATGTGTTGTCAGCATTTCTACCGTCCTCCCCATATTGAGATTACACACCCTTGGTTTGATGGCTCATAGTGTTTTTCTGGCATTCTTACACACAGTGATTTTTTAAAAATTTCATTGATTGCAGTTTGGGGAAATAGAGGGAAAGAGAAAATACAAGATATACTTGCAATTATTCGAGTGAGTGAAATTATTTTATTATTTAAAATCTGTGTGTCCTTTTGAAATTCATACATAGATGAGCAAACTACAAAATTAAAGGTTGAACTGTTAATACAGATACATTATCTATGATATTTCATTTGGTTGGACATATGTGGTCTGTAACTCAATTTTAGGAGGTGCAGTTTATAAAGTATACAATCCTCTACTATTTGGGAAAACTTTATCAGGTGACTATTAATGTCATTTGCTCTGTAATGACACCTTCAGATCTGGTGCAACATAGCTTTTCTGTGTGTATGAACAGTAATGAGGAATAGGCGTGATCGTGGTGCTACATTAGGGATGATAAAATGCCCCACTGGGCTTTAGAAAGCCTCGTTTTACAAATGTGACATTTGCTTAACTATAGGGGCATGGATAGTAAGGCTACAATTATGTGAAGAGCTGGAGCAGTATTATTAAAATCTTTTTAAACAACCAATCTCCCCACCCTTTGAATGCTTGTTTTGTCCTTGTAGAAATTGTTTCTGTTTTAGAGTTGTAATCTTTGGCTGTAGCAGCCAATCCCAGGCCAGGTGCTATTAGGAAAATGATAGAATCTGGGGATGGTTGGCTGGAATCTGGTGCATTTGGCCCAAATCATTTCCCATGGGAAAAATAAAGCTCCCTCGAATTATGTGTTCACTAACCATACATCTCTGTGACTGGTTATGCAGCGTTCCTACCTGGTCTGCAGCTAGGATTTGTGGGATTTTTTTTTTCTGTTATGTTTTCTTTTATTTCTGTTTGGTTTTGCTTTGGGAATGTCTTTTGTTTGCTTTTTGTATCAGCCACACGCAATTTTATAACACAGAAGATAAGCAAGGGTTTGCTCTTATTTTGAAAATGGCATTTAATGGAGACTGGACAAATGGTGAATGTCTTCTCCTGAAGTGTCACCAAAATGATCAAAAGATATAAGCCAGGCCGGGCGCGGTGGCTCACGCCTGTAATCCCAGTGCTTTGGGAGGCCAAGACGGGCGGATCACGAGGTCAGGAGCTCGAGACCATCCTGGCTAACATGGTGAAACCCCATCTGTACTAAAAGTACAAAAGAATTAGCTGGGCGTGGTGGCACGCACCTGTAGTCCCAGCTACTCGGGAGGCTGAGGCAGGAGAATGGCGTGAACCCGGGAGGCACAGCTTGCAGTGAGCAGAGATTGTGCCACTGCACTCTAGCCTGGGCGACAGAGCCAGACTCTGTCTAAAAAAAATAAAAATAAAAAAAAAGGCAGACCCCTTTCTTTCCACCTATTGCTAGAAATTATTATCTTTTTTGAGAATTTTTCAGTAAGTGAATATTGGAAACAATAAGTCTTGGAGTGTATAGCCTTTATGTATACCTACAATGCAAGAACTCCAAACTCTTTAAATTAAAATGTATAATCATTGGTCGAAACAAATTTTTTAATTACTATGGAGGTTTAGTTTTGTATTTTGCTTTTACTGAGGATTAGGTTCATTTTGAAATAAGGTTCTTCTCATAGTTCTGTCTTATTTGGTCCATTTAAGCAATTATACTTTGTGTTTGCATCAGTGAGATTTCAGGATAATTTATTTTTTATAGCAACACTGAGAAAAAAGTCACTAGTACTGTACATTTTCTTGGCCTTCTACACTGATAGGAAGAAAATTTACAACATTAAATTGATATAATTAGTTTTAGATGTAAAGAAGAAACAATAGAATACACACATACATGCATATAGCTTATATATGTATTTTTTTAATTGCAATTTACTCAAGAAGTACATATTCTGGGGTAATGTTTTGTTAACTCTAAAATTTTCTTAAAGTAAATAACGATTTACAATCATCATTGTAAACCTTAATAATGAAAAACATAAAACATCATAGGAAATAAATATATGAACATTGCCCTAAGCCATTTCTAGACATTAAAAATTTTATATCTCATATTAATATCATTAATAAAGTGTTTCATTAAACTGTAATAGTAAGAGTAACTCCAATCATTTTAACTTTTTGAAAAGAATTTTGTCCTTAATATTTTATGTATGGTCTGTGAGACACTTAAAAATAATGAAGTTTTGGCTGGGTGTGGTGGCTCACCCCTGTAATCCTAGCACTTTGGGAGGCCGAGAAGGTCAGATCACCTGAGATCAGGAATTCAAGACCAGACTGGCCAACATGGTGAAACCCCATGTCTACAAAAATACAACAATTATCTGGGAACGATGGCGGGTGTCTGTAATCCCAGTTACTCGGGAGGCTGAGGCAGGAGAATTGCTTGAACCCAGGAGGCGGAAGTTGTAGTGAGCTGAAATCATGCCACTGCACTCCAGCCTGGGCGACAGAGCAAGACCCCATCTCAAAAAAAAAAAAAAAAAAAAGGAATAATGAAGTTTTGATCTCAAAGCAAGCTAAAAATTATAAATGTATGTGACATTTCCTGTCATTTACAGTTACTACTAACTGGTGGTAATTTCAGCATCTTAAAGTATGACATATTAAAGTAATCTATTTTCTACTCATCAGTTTCTTCTTTTATTTTCACAAGGAACAGATAGCATTAAGGTTTTGAAATTTAGCAAAGCAACTAGTTAAATGCATTTTAACCCCTGACTTTTTAAAGCTAATGCTTCATTTACATATGAGATTCTCTTTCTGATCTCTGAGTAGCTCTCGAATAGGAAAGGGAGCTATGAGTAGGTCTTCATCAGCTGGGAGAAGCCACACAGCTCACTTGGGGAAGTGTTTATTGACCGCTCACTGTGAAAAAGCATTTTGCTAAACATGCAACTTTATAAAAGAAATGAAGTACTTTATCTTTTTCCTTGAGAAGCAAGATTTATTTCCATAAAGCCACATATGGAAATTGTTTTGGAGTAGGGTTCATTCTGCATGAGAGACTGTAAGAGGCGGTAGTAGGGCAAGCAGAATATAGAGCTGGCATGCCCTCCTGGGTCTTTCTTCAGATCTCCTTTCATGGTTTTGTTAATTTAGCTAAAATGTCATAAGTTCATAAGCTGTCATAATCTGAAACCCAGATAAGTTAGCGAACAATAATTATGATCTCATTACTAGAACTGTACCATGCATGTGTGTACACACTTTATATGCACACACTTTTTATATATGGAAACATTTAGATGTTTAAAGAGTCCGAAAATGCACACACTGTCTTTCACTAGCTCTGTTATAAGAGGACTTTCTTTTCACAATGTCTTGATGAGTCTTGAGTTAGTGATCTCCATAACTCTAAATAATAGACAGACAGGTAGGATCACCCTATATCCCCGTTACCGATCTCCATAACCCTAAATAATAGACGGACAGGCGGGATCACCTTATATCTCTGTTACTGATCTCCATAACCCTAAATAATAGATAGACACATGGGATAACTCTATGTCCTTGTTGCCGATCTCCATAATCCTAAAAAATGAATGGCTATGTAGGATAACCATACATCCTTATTTCTGCCTATTGCCTTACATCTTTTCTGGTTTGGGATTTGCTCCATTTTTAAATTATTATTAATTTTAACCAAGTGGTGTTTTAAATAAGGCAGGATAGAGGCAGTAGATTTCCACTTGCTGGTTCCAGTTTCCCCTGAGAAGAGAGGTGCCACTCTCATACCTGCCTGCATCTGGAAAATCGGCGTTAGTAGTTCTTCCCTCCCTTCCCCAGTGTAACCAACCCCACACCTCCAGGAGCAGCAACTCACTATTCAGTAACGGGAGAAAGAGCAAGCGACACTGGGTGTGTCAGGTCCCTGGTGATCTGGTTGGGCTGTGTCCCCACCCAAATCTCATCTTGAACTGTAGCTCCCATAATCCCCACGTGTTGTGGGAGGAACCCAGTCAAAGGTAATTGAATCATGGAGGCGGGTCTTTCCCATGCTGTTCTCGTGATAGTGAATAAGTCTCATGAGATCTGATGGTTTTAAAAAGGGGAGTTCCCCTGCACATATTGTCTGGCCTGCTACCTTGTAAGGGGCAACTTTGCCCCTCATTCACCTTCTGCCATGACTGTGAGACCTTCCCAGCCACATGGAACTGTGACTCCATTAAACCTCTTTCCTTTATAATTTACCCAGTCTTGCATATGTCTTTATTAGCAGTGTGAGAACAGACTAATACACCTGGTGTCGGACACTGCCTGCCTACAGTGACTGTTGGAGCTGCTGCTGGTCACACGTATGCTTGGTCCATATGAAGCCTGTGAAATGCATCCAGCAAGTTGCAGGAAACCAGGAAATTATAGGTGTGCTGTATTTAAAAGACAGGTGAGAAGAAGCTCAGCTCCTCTTGCCATCAAGAGTTTATGGAGTCATTGATATTCCCAACCAGCAGTGCTGCTGTTTGTCACATGGTTTAAATCTACAATGATTTCCTTAATAAGCCCTTTGGGAAGCAATGAACTAAAAATTAAAGCATATGTTTGTTGAAAAATTAAGCATTAAATTTCCTCTGCTCAAAAGAAAAAAAAAACAATAAATATCTACCCTGCACAAAGTGTTTGTTGAGAACTGCCATCTATTGCTGTGTGCAATGACCACAGGGAGCTCAAAAGCCACGTTTCTGCTGAAGGTGACTGGGGTTGCCTTCAGAAGTCAGCCATCCTTTTAAGAACTCTGCATCTAGGATGGATGACACTGTGGCCTACCCAGCCCAGTGACCTCTCACCATGAAGCCCTACTCCCTTCATTGGTGACCATTCTTCAGCCAGCGAGTAAACCTTCTGATATGGCCCTAGGTTGCTGACTACTAACATTTCTTCCGCCTTTCTCCATTGTTCTTGAGCAGGATCAGGGACCCCCCCACTGAAGATCTTTCAAAACAGATTTGGAGCGATCTGCTCCTCTCCTCCTGAATCTCATCCTCCACTGAGTCCCAGCCACCACCTGATGCCAGAACTGAATTTCCACTTTATTTCTCCTTATATTATAAAGGTGCCCCTTTATTTTCCATGCATTTATTTCCACAGGATTCTGTGTACATTGTGGGAATAGTCTTTGGGTTTATTCAATTTCTGTATTATGAATTAGAATCCTATGTATATTTTTAAAATTTAAAATGATTGAGTATAACATACACACAGAAAGCTGCAAAAATATTCATTGTAGAGCTCAATGAATTGTGCCCCACGAGTCTGCTCAAGCAGCCACCATCCGGATCATGATACAGGTTGCTTCAGAGCCCTGGGGCGCTCCTGCATGGCCCCTCGCATCGGTTAATAACCCCCAGAGGTAAGGACTCTCGTGACTTACTGTAGGAGCAAGGGAGTGGAAGTGATTTTCTATTAAGTTCCATCTGTCATTTGTGAGGGCTGCATCTTGGGGCTGTAGCTCTCTGGGACTTTTGGCAGGCCAAGGATTTCCTGCAGCCAGAGATATCCCTCCGGCAGGACTGCAGGTCCCAGTGCAGAGGGTAGAAGCCAATAGGTGCACAGAGCAATGAGGTCTGCAGGTGGAGAGGCTCTTGCCCTACATTATATTCAATCTGTCTTGCTACTGATTGTTTAAAGAGGCAGAAAGTTACAATTACTTTAGCTAAAAAGGCAATGAAAGAGGCTGATTCACAGAATAAAAATGATCCTTCCCACGGCCCTGGCCCTGGCTCCATACTTGCAATTCACTTTCATCCTCAGTCCCATCTGCTGCTCCAGGTCCCTCAACCCCAGCAGCAGGTTCATTGGTCTTTATTGTTTGCCAGGGGGGTCAGTAAGATCAGCATATCTCAGGAGGAGTGAGGCTCTGGTTACGGTGCCTGGGTCAGACAGCAGCCATTGCAATCCCCTGTTGACAGGGGTCATTGTGAGTGAAGCAGCCAATGCAAAGATCCTAGAGGACCCCTTGAGTTTCAGACACAGAATTTCCTTCCTGTCCCCACAAAGTAGCAAGAAACCAATTTCTGCATGATGATCAGTCTTCATCACCCTTCCTGACATAGCAACGCTTTTCTGCCCATAAGGGTGTTCATAATTTTGGGAACTCTGTGGTCTCTGAATTGCAATCAAGTGGAAGTAAGAACAAGAGGCCACAAGTAACCCCTGCCCTGTTATCCTGAGGACTAAAGAGAGATGTCCTTAAAACACTGTGTGTGTTCTCCTTCCTGAGCCCAGTGGCTTCCTGCAGCTAGAGGAAGCCTCTGGCAGAAGCACAGCAATGGCTGCCACTGGCATTTTGGGATAACGGCTCTGGAAGAGAGGTTGGGGGACGGCAAGGTCAGGCTGTCCACATGGGAAATTCAACCAGAAGAATGACTTTCAGCCATAGTGTTATGCTTTCAGAATTTCTGATAAAGATGTGAAAACAGATAAAGTAGATGAAAGAGAAGCATGCTTTCCATAGCATGCAATAATTCCTTTTCTATATTAATATTATTTCCTCAGTGTGATAGTTTACCCAGAAATACATATATGCTTTAAAAATCAAAATATAAAAAGGTAAGAATTTAGAAGTCATATTTTCATCTCCACTGTTGTGACTGAATTATGCCCCCCAAAATTCATAAGTCGAAGTCCTAACACGACCCAGAATGTGACTGTGTTTGGAGACAGGGTCTTTACAGCAGTGATTAACGTAAAATGAAATAATATGGGTAGGTCCCAATCCAACATAACCAACCTGTGTCTTATATTAAGGGGAAATTAGAACACAGGCGGCTGCAAAGGAAGAATCCCACGTGGAGGGACAGAGAGAGGATGGCTGCCTGCAAGCCCCGAGAGGTCAGGGAGGGACTGGGACCCACCCTGGGATACCTTGCTTTTAGACTTCCAGCTTCTAGAACCTAGAAAGAAAAAATTCATGTTGTTTGAGTGCCCCATGTTGCAGTGTTTGGTTACACAGCCTGAGCAAATGACCACCCTCAAGCCCTGTGCCCTGTCCTCTGTTAATTTTTTGTGTGTTTGTTTGTTTTGTTTTTGAGGTGGAGCCTCACTCTGTCTCCCAGGCTGGAGTGCAGTGGTGCGATCTTGGCTCACTGCAACCTCGGTCTCCTGGGTTCAAGCAATTCTCCAGCCTCAGCCTCATGAGTAGCTGGGATTACAGGCATGTACCACCACACCTGGCTAGTTTTCATATTTTTAGTAGAGACAGGGTTTCACCAGGTTGGCCAGGTTTGTCTCAAACTCCTGATGTCATGTGATCCGCCCGCCTCGGCCTCCCAAAGTGCTGGGATTACAGTTGTGAGCCAACGTGCCCAGCCACTCCTCTGTTAGTTTCTTACACACACTTTCCAAGTTTCCTCAAGCAGCTCCAGAAGAGTACAACAGCGTAAGTGGACACGTTTCTTCCCAAACAGCACATTTGTCCTGGGTTGGGCATTTCTTTTTTTCACTGAAAAATATACCCACATCTGCACACAGAGAGCTCCCCAATCCTTTTAAACCATTCCATGATGTCTTATATGGGTTCTCAGGGAAGCAAAGTTGGAGACAAGACTGGATGCCCAGGCTGTATCTGGGAGGAATCTGAGAGAAGGGCAGGAAGGGGTAAGTCACTAAAACTCCGCAGTATGAGCCAATTGCCAGCATAGACCCTAGAAAGCAGCCCCAGGTGTCCCGCTGCAAACCCAGCAGCACGAACCTCAGCTATGGCCCCAAAGGGCAGGAGCTGGACCCTGTTTCCCAGAGTCCTGTTCCCTCTTGATGGAAGGCTATCCTTCAGAAAGGGGATACGTGTCCCCCACCTCTCCATGTGCCTGTGCCTGGGCGGAGCTGCCTTCCAAGGTTCAGGAGAAAGCCCCAGCAGGTGCTTGTGCTGGGAGCCTCCAGCCTCCTCCAACCCCTCCAGCACAGCACAGCCAGCCAGACAGAAGCACAGGGAGGCAGCAGTACCTGCTGGACCCCAGGGCCTCTGCTGCACAGGCTGGGCCACCGGGCTTGCCAGGGGCTGACTATACAGACCCCTGCTGATGGCATTCGGTTATTTCTAATAGAATCCAGCAATATGCAATCCTGTACATCTGCCGTTTAATGTGTGTTAATTTGTATTTCTCTGAGAAACAGAACCAAAATAATGCACATGAATAGATAGAGGATAGATAGATGACAGGTAGAGAGATGTAGATGATAGATGGTGGATGATCGGTAGATAGACAGATGACAGGTGGATAGATGACAGGAAGATAGAAAGCTAAATGATAGACCGATAGTAGATAGAGGATAGATAGATAGATAGATAGATAGATAGATAGATAGATAGATAGATAAATAGATAATTGATGGATAATCAAAGGATGATAGAGATAGATGGCAGGTGTATAGATGATAGGTAGATAGAAAGCTAAATAATAGCGAGTAGATAGACGATAGATGGATAGACAGATAGATATATGTTTGATGGATGATAGAGATAGATGACAGGTGGATAGATGATAGGTAGATAGAAAGCTAAATGATAGGTAGTAGATAGATGATAGATAGATAGATAGAAGGATAGAAAATAGATGGATAATCAATGGATGATAGAGACAGATAGCAGGCGGATAGACGATAGGTAGATAGAAAGGTAAGTAATATACAGGTAGTAGAGAGATAGATGATAGATAGATAGATAGATAATTGATGGATGATAGAGATGGATGACAGGAGGGTAGATGATAGGTAGATAGAAAGCTAAATGATACACAGGTGGTAGATAGGTAGATGACAGATGGATAGATACATAATCATTGGATGACAGAGATGGATGGCGGGTGGATAGATGGTAGGTAGATAGAAAGCTAAATGGTAGACAGGTAGTAGATAGATAGATAGATAGATAGATAGATAGATAGATAGATAGATGATGGATAATCAATGGATGATAGGGTGGGTGACAGGTGGATAGATGGTGGGTAGATAGAAAGCTAAGTAATAGACAGGTAGTAGATAGGTAGATGATAGGTAGATAGATAGGTGACAGAGATGACAAGGAATTGGCTCATGTGATTGTGGAACCTGGGGAGTTGGCAATATCCAGCTTGGGCTGCAGGGGAGCCTGGGCTGCGGTGTCCTCTGAGTGCCTTCTGCTGGGGAAGTTTTCTTGCTCCGGGGATGTCAGTCTTCGTTCTATTCAAGATTTTAACTGATAGGATGAGGCCCACCCCCATTAGTGGAGCAATCTGCTGACTCAGCGTTCACTGATTTAAACGTTCATCTCGGGTTGGCTTCAGCAGCATATGCAGTAAGGTCAAAAGAACACAAAGAACATTAACATGGCCCCTGCACAAGGACGACACGCAAATTTGCCATGAGCCTGTATCTCTCCATCACACACAGGGGAGGATTGCACGTAGGAGCTCT
Organism: Homo sapiens; assembly: GCF_000001405.40. Taxonomy (NCBI): domain Eukaryota; kingdom Metazoa; phylum Chordata; class Mammalia; order Primates; family Hominidae; genus Homo; species Homo sapiens. The sequence continues at coordinate 2,098,306 of NC_000010.11, forward strand.
TTGACTTCCTGGATGCAAGGGACGATTGTGCGGCCCCAAAGCTCTTTAACAACTTGAAATAAAATGTTCAGACGTACTCACCCCAGCCTTCATCGCTTGGGCATGAGGATATCCTCTTACAGCTTTGAATATGGCATTTGATTCTTATTTGTATGAACCTCATTGATTTTGGCTTTGGCTAGTAGCTTCTATGTAATTAGTAGTGATCTGCAAAAATAAAATAAAATAAATAAATAAATAAATAAATAAATGCTAATCCCATTCAAAAATAGCCTTCAAGTTGACGCCTAAAAAGAACTGTCACAGTGCAGGTGCAAGAATTTCTACATGATAAATTCCCTTAAATGGGAATTACTACATCATGCTTTTTCTCCTGTCTGCTTCTCTTATTTCATTAAATAATGATAATACTGGAAATGTCTGTTTTGTCTATGATTTTAGAAGAAATGTTTTAAATTTTAATTCATAAAGCTTGATGATATTATTTGGGGGCAAAACAAATGTATTTAATTCCATTTCTATTATATCCACAGCCTTCTATGTTGAGCACTTTCTCTAAGTATAGTCATGAATTGTTATTAATTGCATGATAAGCATCATGCTGTATTTCTTCTTAGTTCTATTAATATGAGGAATGTATTAACATCACATTATCTTTCCACTGCTGGACTAAATCTCACATGGTTGTGATGTATTGTTACTTTAATGCTGGGTCCTGTTTGCTCATATTTTATATAGGATTTAAGTAGTGATATTTATTATTAAAATCATTATAATTTTACATTATTGTACAGTATTTGTTGTGTTTCGTGTGATTGCATTGTTACTGCATGAGAATAATTATTTTCAGAATAAGAAATACGTGAACTAACTCATCTTAAAAAATCTCTCTTTACCTCTTCTCCCAATTTTTGTTGCCTAATTGCACCGCTGGAAAATACAATGAAATGGTCGTAATTCCACTCATTTTCTCCTTTGCTTTTGTTTGAGGCTGACCTTAGGCCTATTTAGTGCTCATTGGCAGTATTTTATTTTCTTAAAAACTCCTGTCCTCACTTGGTGGTTTCAGTTCTTTCTCTAGCAATTTTCTCAAAAAGGCTTGTGTGAGCAATGCTCGATAGTCCTGGGAGCAACGTTCGGTACTCCTGGGAGCAAACTTTGGTATTCCTGGGAGCAATATTCGGTATTCCTGGGAGCAACGTTCGGTATTCCTGGGAGCAACGTTCCGTATTCCTGGGAGCAATGCTCGGTATTCCTGGGAGCAACGTTTTGTATTCTTGTTTGCAACGCTTGTTATTCCTATGAGCAAAGTTCGGTATCCCTGCGAGCAAAGTTCGGTATTCCTACGAGCAATGTTTGGTATTCCCGAGCAATGCTTGGTATTCCTGAGAACAATGTTCAATTTCCTGTTTGATGATCACTCTATGGGCGTAGCCTTTAGAGCTGAAAGGTACTTACCTGTGTATGAGATCCTCACTGCAACCTCTTTTCCACAAGCACCTGTGCAGTTGTCATCAAAGGTGGTTGTCAACACTTGACGAAAGATGTATTTTCCCTCCCTCAAATTCTATGTGAGCTTTTTGTCTGCTCCTCAAAAGTCTTTTTCTTAATTGTCACATAGTTTTTCTACTTTGTACATCCATAAGCTCAATGGTCATATTTATTTTGCTCAGTTCTCAGTAGACCACGGTGTGCTCTTTCAGGAAGCAGATTTAAGCCTTCTATCTTAAGAATATATTTTGAATTTTACATTAAATCGTTATTCTGTTTCCCTGCACTGGTTGTCTTTTTGAATAACTTAAATTAGTTGTCCATTGCACCAGCTTGCTTTCTTGTATATCTGTTGTCTGGGATCCCTACTGTTTGGGTCCATCCACCGTTCCCATCCCAGCCCCCAGGACTTACTGTGAGGCTGAGGTTGGTAGTGGTGGTGACGGTTCACCCCCTCCCTGAGCTTCTCAGGTCCAGCCTTCATTCCTGAAATGATGTTGCCTTTATCCACACTTTTTCTAAGACCATCAGCCCTTATTTCACCTTTCCACATTGTGCAGACATCAAATCCTGTTGTCAAACTGTCCTTTCTTAGATCTTACATTTCTACATTGTGCTGTATTTGTCTGACTTTTACTGTGTTATAATAACGTTTTTCTCAATTCACGTTGGAGTGTTGGATTGTAATTTTATTTTCTCTGTGGATTTTTTTTGCATGTTTCTAATATATAAAGGAGCATTACTCCTCTTTCTTACAGAATGTCCTAACCCAGACGTGTCCAATCTTTTGGCTTCCCTAGGCCGCACCAGAAGAAGAAGAATCGTCTTGGGCCACACATAAAATATATTAACACCAACAATAGCTGATGAGCTAATAAAAAATCACAGTAAAATCTCATAATGTTTTCAGAAAGTTTATGAATTTGTGTTGGGCCACATTTAAAGTCGTCCTGGGCTGCATGTGGCCTGCAGATTGAACAAGCCTGTCCTAGACCACGTTTGTAGAAGTTACGTTTATTTATTTTTAAAATTCACACATAAATAAGTTTCATTTTCCTAAACTTGCTCTGAGAAGCACAGTCATGGAGAGACAGTGATGGAAAGAACTTCCAGATTTCTCAGCTCATCAGCTTCCTTAGATATTTACTCCTGTTGCAAAAACTCATTTATGTAACCGGGGGCTTCTCTGTCCGGGGGCTTCTGTTTCCAGAGACACTGTTTCTCGTAGCCACACCCGATTCATGAGGGTTTCTGCATCCGGCCCTAGTATCTCCTCCAAGGTGGCTGCTGCCCTCCAGTCATGTTCTGGAGAGAAGGTTGCTGTGCCTGAGGGTCTCCCTCTAGCCTCCTTGATTCTGGAAATATCCATTCTCTAATCAGCCTCCTTTCTCTAATCAGCATATCCGCAGTGTACCACAATACCCAGCAGTTCCTCCAGGAAGTGGGATCCTTGCCTCTGGGAATGAACACTTCCTGATGCTGAGATATGAGGCAGGACCAACTCCAGAGGTGGGGTTCGGACACAGGACCAAACTGAGGACCATCTAACACAGGGCTGAGACAAAAACAGCTTTCCAACAGCACGTCCACCAGCGCACCCTGTCAGTTCACCATCACCAGGGCAATACTCGGGATGACCCAGGGACCCCAAAAGGACTACCCCTTCCCTAGAGATTTCTGCCTAAACCAGCCCCGATCTGCACGTTATCGAAAGTGGGTATAAATAGGACTGTGGCCCTGCCCTGAGCTGCTGCTCTCTGTCCGTGGGGTAGCCTTGCAGGAGCAGTCACTAGCTGTACTGTCATCAGAGCTGTAACGCTGCCTCTTTAAGAAAGCTGTACTCTACCTTTCACTCTACCACCAGTTTGCCCCTGCATTCTTTCCTGAAGGAAGCCCAGAACCCTCCCAGGCTCTGCCCACTTTGGGGCTCCCCTGCCCTATACCAGAACTGTGTAGGATTGGGCACCACTGCCCCGTCCCAGGTCTCGTTCCCCTCCAGGCGTCCCTCTCCGTTACTGCATGTGTCCTGCCAGCTTTGCTCTTTGGGAAACAATTACACACACACAGAGGTTTGAGCTTCCTCCCTCTCTCACTCAGTTGAATACACAGGTTTGTTTTGCTGTCACTGTTATTCTCATTTGTATGTGTACTTTCCAGGAGAAAAATTAAAATGATTTGTAAAAAAGCTACCCTGTTTATGTCAGGATATGCAATTGTATTCTTATGATTTGATAATCATTCATTCGTAGGAACTCAGATAATTAATTTGCAGTTTGAAATGATTTTTTGTTATTGTTTTCTGAGGACACGAAAAACATTCCTTCCAGGTGTCATTCCATTTTGTGGTCTTTCTAATACAAATGTTGTGTGTCTAATTACAATTGAATTATTTACTGATACCAATGCCATTGACAAATAGGAAAAGTTTATTGTAAATTATTAAGCACATTTTCTTCTCATTTATCTGTTCATTAATTATTATTAAAATAAGATGTGATACAGCCAGCATGGAACACAAATCTTCAGAGTACAGACAAATCCATTTTTATGTGCACACTCATGTACACCATGCAGAGCAATATACATTCAATTTCTAGCACCCCCGAGAGCTTCAGGGCACCCTTGACACAATGAACTCCACCTTAGAGAAAGACTCTATTTTAAATGCTATTTCATAGGGCACTTTGCCAAAAAGAATAACATGTTTTGTTTAATAAACAAATAAGAAAAAGGTATCTTGGCCTCCCAAAGTGCTGGGATGACAGGCCTGAGCCAAATCTGAGAATGGCCTATGACACAGCCCACAGGAGATCCTGAGAAGATGTCCCCAAAGTGATCAGGGTACAGCCTCATTTTATTTTAGACATTTTGGGAGACATGAGATATCAGTCAAATACATGGAAGATGTACATTGGTTCCATCTGGAAGGGTAGAACAACTTGAAGTGGGGGAACTTCCAGGTCATGATTGGATTTTAAAATTTTCTGATTGACAATTGCTTGGAAGAGTTATTATCAGTAGAAAGGAATGTCTGGGTTATAAGGGGTTGTGGAGACCCAGGTTTTATCAGGCAGACAGATGAAGCCTCCAGGTAGCAGGCTTCAGAGAGAATAGGTTGTAAATGTTTCTTACCAGACTTAATATCCGTATTGATGTTAATGCTGGTCAGCTTTTCCTGGATTTCAAAAGGGAGTATAATGAGGCATGTCTGACCCTCTCTTCCTTCATGGCTAAACTATTTTTTCAGATTAACTTTGGAATGCCCTTGGCCAAGCGGAGGGGTCCACTCAGATGGTTAGGGGGCCTTAGAATTTTATTTTTGGTTTTCATACTAGATGCGGAAAGAAACAGTTAACAGGGAAAGACTTAAAAATAACTATGATTAAAATTTTGAGAAGAAACAATTGATAAAAAGATAAAAAGTTGGTATATTTCAATACGAATGCATTTACTTCATTGGAATTCCTCATATTATATTCAAATTCAGTAATTTCTCTTTTGATGTCATTTATTGAGTTAATGTTGTTTTCCATCTATACTTTCTAGTTTCCAGATTTATAAAAGACTACTTTTCATGCTCTTCTGCATTTATGTCTGCCCTTTTGTTCTGTGTGATTATTTCCTGTTTGTGTAGTTTAAAGTGTTTTACCTATTTTAGTATGCTAAGCACTTTTTAAAGTAATTTTGAATTTATTCAATATTATTTGTTGATTTTTGTAACCACAGTGGCATTATTTCTCTTCTAAGTCTTGTCCCCTTGCTTCAACTTCCTTTGCTTTATCTTTTGTGTTTCTTCTTTCCCTAGCAGTTTGTTTGTGTTTAAATCTCTCACTCAGCCCTCTCATGTTCAAGCTCAAAACCTGGTCTTAGAAATGCACTTCACAGTCTGTGGAGGTTTGAGGGATATTCCAAATCCAGCTCCCAGATCCTGACAAAGTCTCTGCCCACTTTCTTTCACCTCTCAAAGTATAATGCTTCTTTAAGACAAGTTTATTTTAATGTCAACGTGTAATGTTTGTTTGGAACAGGCAGTGACCTTGCTTATGGACCTACAATGACATTTCAACTGGAAGTTACAGAAATTTTTTTAAGTTAAAAACAAAAATAGAGAACAGGTAGAAAATGCTGTAATTTTCAGAAAAAATAGAGTCTGTAAAACTAAAGGTGAAAAGTACACAGAATAAGCGTACTCTAGTTGATAATGTTGTGCGACATGAGATTGCTCATCACAGCGGGTTTAACTGGAACTGAGGAATTCAATGATGGGACGGTGGGTGGGGAAGGCAGGTTTCTCACTGCAGGAATGAGGATGAGGCAGGAGAGCAATCCATGGGGTGATGGAGCAGAGCTGGAGACACCAGGATGGACCTACCTGTGCTTAATATAGACACTCACAGGTACAGAGAGAAATGTTCACTCGTTTGTGTGTGACTTATAATATGATCAATGTACATACATGAACCTTTGCTCTGTTGGCTGAGAAGGCCTAGAAGCAAAGACACTCAAGGGAGACAAGCACACCCAGTGCCCAGATCTTGGTTTCTAATACCAATCCCCAGTAAAGTAGGCAGGAAGTTTTAGGGTAATGGCTGATTCTAGAACCAGGACAAGAAATATGCAGGCTTAACCTAGAGCATCTTGTAGTGCCAGAAGGAAAGATAGGGCTGAACACATACACACACACACATAATCAGACACACTTAGACACACACACATGCATACACATGCGTAACACATACATGCACATGCACACATACACAAACACACAGAAATACATGCTCATCCACAGGCATGCACACATGTGCACATATATGCATGTGCACACACACACACACACTGATGGGGATGTCAAAGGATAAAGAGTCAGCTAGAAGAGCTCCTGATGGCCAAAGCTGAGCCACTTTGAGCAACAGGATGAGGTAGTATTGGTTTATAACCCAAAGTATAAAATAGTGTTTATATGTTCACACTGATATAATTGAATAAATAAATAAATAGGGGACAAGAGATATAGCCCCCATGCATAAGAAAATCCAAGTTATTTCCGCAGAGGCTCTGTCCTCCAGAAGGGCAATCGTAACCCGGCTCCCGAGCATGGGCCCTTCACAGTGACTTTCTTCCCGGGGCACAGGGCAGCCGGAGGCGGGAGGGGAGGAACAGCCTTGGGTGAGAGCCTGAGAGGTGCTGCTCGTCCGGGCGATGGAGGTCAGCAAAAACAGTGATGAACGCGTGAGCACGTGGCCTCTGCTATGTGAGGAGAATGGCCCCTTTTCTATGTGCTGTTCCTACAGTGCCCCATAACCCAAGTCAAATCATGAAGAAAACATAAATTCCATTTCAGCAAAGAGGCATCGGACAAAATATACAACCAGTCCCGCTCAAAACTGTCAAGATTACCAAAATCAAGTCAAGTCTGAGAAACTGTCACAGCCAAGAGCAGCCTAAGGGGACATGACAACTAAATGTCATGTGGGATCCTGAATGGGACCCTGGAGCCGCAAAAGTGTTCCGGATGGTGAATCCTCACGAGTCTGCAGCAACCTCAATTCTTGCCTCCTCAGAAGAAAGAATTCGACTGGGGGCATAAGGCAGAAGGAGAGACCAAGGCAAGTTTTAGAGCAGGAGTGAGAGTCTATTTAAAAGCTTTAGAGCAGGAACGAAGGGAAGAAAAGTACATTTGGAAGAGGCCCAAATAGGTGGCTTGAAGGACAAGTGCGCGGTTTGACCTCTGACTTGGGGTTTTATACGTTGGGATATTTCCAGGGTCTTGCGTCCCTTCTCCCCTGATTCTTCCGTTGGGGTGGGCTGTCCACATGCGCAGAGGCTGCCAGCACCACAGAGCAGCGCATGTGCAGTGTGTTTACTTGAGTCACGCACATGTGCATTTGAGGCGTTCTTCCCTCAGCACCCAAATGCCCCTGGAAGGTCATCCTCCGCCACGTTGCCTCTTAATGCACACGCTTGAGCCCACTGGCTGCACTCCTGAGATGTTATCTGGCAGCTGCTGATCACCAGTTTCAGGTGTTTCCTGTCCATAGGGAGACCACCATTCTCTGACACTGGCTGTGACCTATTATTATGTTAAAAGGGCAGTGTGACAACCACCTGACCGTCACCTGATGGTCACCTGACTTTCCTGGTGGGCTGTCTGGACCCTCCTTCTGCCCCGTTCGTGTCTGATTAGCTACAAACGCTTAACAAAAGGACAGTAGGGGAAATTCACATACCTGTGAATAAAGTGTAGACTTTGGTCAACATTAATGTCTCAATATTGGTTCATTGAGACGAATGCACCTCACTCATGAGAGATGCGGGTCATGGGAGAGCCTAGGTGCAGGGGACCGGGAGCTCTGGTCCCACTTTCTCAATTTCTCTGTAAATCTAAAACTGTTATAAAAATGAATTAGATTAGCATAAATAAAAATGAACAAACTCACTCTCGGACTTTACAAATAATTTTATAATTCTGAACCAGATATTTCTGTCCTCTATCCTCTACCACCAATATCTAGGAAATTGAGAATGTAATAACTGCACTTTTTGAGCAACATGGTTTTTTTATTTGTAAATAATTTGTATAGAATTCATTTATTTAACTTACATTTAAAAATTATAGAATAATACTGTTTCATAAAATTTTATTTTGCCTGAAATAATTAAATTGTTTGTTTCTGAGAAGCTGTATTTAGCTGATCCAACTAACAATCACGTTTGTTTTTAGTAACATTGAAAAAAAATACTCCATTTCAAAGCGGGGTTAAACATTTGATACTCAATTTCACTGCTAAACAGGTCTCTTTGTTATATCTCTTATTATACACAATGGCTAAATGGGTCAAGTTTGAAATCCATAAAATGGAGTTGTTAACATTGCATTTTTATTCCTTTTTTCTGAGGAATTTTTTTCCTACACAAAGTGATTTGCTTTTACTTCCATACAATGTAAAGCTTTGCTTTTCTTCAAAAAGCACAGTGTCAGACCCCTCAGTAGTAAAAGCGTTTATTTCTCTGCCTTTGGCAGCTCATGAAGGATGTCAGCTTGAGTGACTTAGAAAGTTGTGCTCCTGAGAATTCAAAGAAAGTGCCCAGAGGTGCAGACAGAAGAACAAAATGTCAAGGGAATAAGAACGCTCCTCAAGGAATAAATTAATTCCAGGCCCTTTGTTGACAAGTAGCTACAAGCCTACATAGGGTGGTGTTATGAGATACACCTCTCAGTTAATGACAAATGTGGGCCATTGCTACATTTGCATTTTCTTTTTTGGAAGAACATCGCTTTGCTTTAAACTATTAATGAAGGAGAAAACACAAATCCGCCATTGAATTGGGAAAATGATAGAAATAAACACATGGATGAGGATTCAGCCTGTCATGAGTGAATCTTCATTCTGCTGTTAATTAGGTCTGTCCCCTTGAACCAGTTTATTCTAAGCCAAAGTTTTCATATTTGCACAGTAGAGATGATAGCATGGGGGTTAAAAGTTAAAGAAAACAGAAATTTCATCTCCCCTTCTGAGCAGAGATGACTGACCAAACTTGGCCAATCCTATGTGTTTCAGGGAGAATTCCAGGCATGGACCAAGTGATGTGGCATCAGCAGGTCCCCATCAGAGCTGTGGAGGTGGCTTCTGTCTCACGACGGTTCTTGTCTTCTTTGCTCACAAACCCCGGAATGCTCTTGATCTCTGCGTCTTCCACTCCTGTTCCTCAGGTTTCATCAAAGTGTGAGTCCCCAGGTGTCCAATAAAAGCATTTTCCCATCTAATTAGTTAAAGTGAGTCTGGATTATTGTGTGGTCTTGGGTAACCTCTCTGTGACTTGAAATTTTGATATGTACAATTGGAATCATAATAACACAGATTTGTAGGCTTTTGATAATTTATGTAAAGCATTCATAAGTTAGAGAATATGGTTATTAGTCAACATTATTACAACTGATTATTTATATGATGATATGGCTGGGAGCAGTGGCTCATGCCTGTAATCCCAGCACTTTGGGAGGCCGAGGTGGGCATACCATCTGAAGTCAGGTGTTCAAGACCAGCCTAGTCAACATGGTGAAACCCTGTCTCTACTAAAAATACAAAAATTAGCTGGGTGTGGTGGTGCACACCTGTAATCCCAGCTACTAGGGTGGCTGAGGCAGGAGAATTGCTTTAACCTGGGAGGTGGAGGTTGCAGTGAGCTGAGATCACGCCACTGCCCTCCAGCCTGGGTGACAGAGCGAGACTCCATTTCAAAAAATATATATATGATGATGATACTTTGAGAGTGATTTTGATAAATACATTTTAAGACCAACGGAAGGAAATAAAACTTTGAGTTAGCAGGAACAGTTTTTAGAACAAGTATTATACCTAAAACAAAAGCTTTCATAGTACTCTTTTTGGCCGTGGCTACATGTTCTTAAGTCCTTAAATTCTAAATACCCAGCCTGAATCCAATTGCTGTCCAGCAAATGGGTCTCCCTGAGGCTGTGCCTGCTTGGCATCAGGTACTTTTGCAGTTCTAGGAAACTTGAGTTTAAGAAATACCCAAAATATAAAATGCACCTTCATCCAATGCAAGCTGAGACAGTTACAAACAGGGGTGATGAGGCTGGCATGAGACTCCACCGGCTACCTGCTGGGTGCCACGAAGGCTCTGGGATCCTCGAATGCTCAGGTATGACATGGAAAAAGGCAGATGCTGTGAGCGTCATAACCTTAGATGTCCCTCCTAGGGATAAAAGAAAGCAAAACTTATCCGCCATCTTTGACCCATTTTTCTTGTCTTTCCAGCCTGGGAGGCATCCACTTAACACTTCATCCAAAGTGATCTTCAGCCTCCTTGGGAGAAATAACCTCCTGTCAGTGACATCAGCTTCTCAGAGCATCATATGGAGATGCCTCCAGGGACATAGAAACTCAATTTGAAAGTGACAACAAAAATGTCAGGGTTATTATATTGTAAGAGAAAAAGGACAATGTGTTGTCAAATGAATTTTATTAAACCTTTGCTATCAACTTTGTAAAAACATATGCAGGCAGCTCTGAAAATGTATTTAGAGTGAATACCTACTATTGCCATCCAAATACAATCTTATAGTGTTCTTCAATATAATTACACAGCTTTCAAACAAGGAATCTTGTCTAATATTTATAATTCGATATAAGGAAACTAAGGATGATGCCTACATATAAATTAGCTTACTTTTTAAAGTCATCTTTGTGAAGAACTAGTAACTCTGTACAAGACTCCACACATACAAAAGAGAAGCCTAATTGTAAAATAATTACAAAAGGGATATAATGACAAATTGTTGAGAAGCGTGCAGAAATATCTGAACCATTGGACAGAAGTAACATCGGGAGAAAGGACAGACGTTGTGATTCCCCACAAAAGTTATTGTTTGAAGTGGTTCCATAGTCATTGCAGGTTGGACAAAAGCTGTTAAGAAGTAGACATAGTACATCAAAGGAGTGCTGAAGAATAATTTCAAAGAATAATGGTCTATGATACTGTGTTCCTTGTGCCGCTTTTTCCATTTATCTTTAGGGAGATGCTGTATTCATTCATGGGCCAAAAGCAAAGTCCAAATTCTCTGAATAGTGCAGGGAACTTCCTTCCACCACAACTTTTTCCTCCGTGGCAATAAAGATACACCTTTATCCAATTATTTTCTCCACTATTCCCTACTCATACAAAGTTCTTTCCATTATTATTTTAGCTTAATCCTTACAAAAATAAATTTTAATACTCACTTGGACATATTTTTAGGGATGTTTATAGAACCATCTGCAATTGGTTTATTGATTAGACTAATAACATTAAGATATTTCCTTGGAGACATCTTTCCATTTATGGGAAGAAACCTCACATAATTTTGGTAGAATATTTACATTTAGATTTGCTAAGATATTATGATCTTAAGTGATACTGTATTTTTATTTATTTAAAAATCAGTTTCTTAAATCAGAATTATATTTGTTTTTCACAGCAGTTTCAACCTGTGCATTTTAACCTTGGGCAAAACACATATTTTTGCCTTGAAAACTTGCAAATATTTATGTCTCTGATAATACTTCTGATTTCTAACTTCCTAATTGGTTATCTAAATAAAATTTTTGTTCTCACCACAATTTTCAACGATTGCATTAATAACTACATGGATATGGCTTTTTTGATATATGAAATATTGGAAACTGATGAGCTGGGGAAAGCACATGGATATACTTTGAATTTATTAATTCACCTCTAAATATTGCTTTTGCCATATTCCAACTTTTCTGTAATGGTCTGACCTTTATTGCTTCTGCCATCTAAAATTTGCAGACGCAAAAGGAAGTCTCAAATGTACTGACTTTTTTAGTATATTATCTGACTACATTGCCTGTCTTTTAAGCAATTCTTCCTTATTCAAGAAATAGTCTGTGGAATTAGTTGCCAATTGTGATAGTTATCTTAAATTTGGAATGAAATTACTTTTTATATTTTATCCATGTCTATTTCATTTTGGCCTTCGTTTTTACAATTCACGTTTTTTTTTGTTAGCCTGCTATTGGGGCATTGATAGAGATATTCAGAAGCATTTGCTGAAGTTACCATAAATAAGACAGATTAGAGCAGTAATTGCAGGCCAGGAGTTAGGGTCTGACCTTGGTCGAGATATTAGTATTGCAAAACTGTCTTTGACAGCATGGGCAAGTAGTTTAACTCTCTTGCTTCAAATTCTTCATCTGTTAAATGAGGATGTTTATCTCATAGAGTCGTTGGAAAGAATAAATGAGAGAATAAATATAAAACACTGGGAATAGTGCCTGGTGCAAATAAACAATAAATAAACCCTAGCTATCATTATCTTCCAAGACAATTATTTGAAATATGATTAAGTTTGAAAACAATTAAAGATATAAGACTCAGTTTCTATAAAAAGACTTCAAAACCATATTTTTTTTCCTAGAAAATAAAGCTGCTCTTGCAGAACTAAAATGTAAAAAGTTCTCAGCATTAGAGGTAAATTAAGGACATATATTGATATTAAAATCTCAAGAAAAAGCCTACAAAAACAAATTATTGGCTTTTTCCATTACATTCACTGAGTTGGAACTTCTGCTTTCATGAATAAGCTCATTTCCTTACACAGTACTTTTTTTAAAGCCAGAAATTAGAAAAACAAATGATTCAGGTTCTTCCAGTTAATCTCATAAGCAAATTTTATAAAGTAACTTCTAAATGAATGCAAATTCCTTGTCCCATAAACATGCAGTTGTGTTTGTAAGAAGGTGTGCATATTATCAAAGGGGGTATTAGTGTTTTTTTTCAGGTGCTTTAAAATGCTTTATTGGATTTTGAGTCAATATTATATAATATTAGTAATGCGAACAATAGAATAACTCCTCTTAGCCAGATTTGATTTCTATTGATTTTAAAATTCTAAGCTGAATGCCCTCTTAAAATTATAAAGGAGCAACTCGGAGGTCATCTCTGAGTGCTAATCTGCTGACTTCAGGAGCAAATAAGCGTGAAGTATTGATTTCAACATTAGTATTTGACCAAACCACTGAGGAAACCAGAGCTGGGAGGCAGGAGGATTCCTATCAGCCATGAAGGGACTCCCAGTTCCTAGGCGCTCTGCTCTGTCATCATCTCCTTTGTAAGCTCTATGATAGGGCAGCTTAAATGTCTGAATTTTGCAATTCAGGATTTTGACTTCTGATCCGAAATTTGTCCTGATGGCCTAACTTAGATAGAACAGCTTCCGGATTGGCTCCTTTAGATATATTTGTTACTTTCAAATCCTGACCTCTATAATTCCAACTCCAGGCAACCTGTTCCTTTCTTCTAATTTCTTCTATTGCTTGAAAAGTTACTTAGTAGGCAATGTCATAAATATAATTAGCATAGAAATGTCTAGAAACTTTGACAACGTTTAAATTCCTCTGGTCATATTCATAATGTTTTTGATATTTATAGTCAAATAAATAAAAGTGAATCTTTACGATCTGGATAATTCTTATCTTTTATATTTTTGTATAGATGCATTTCTGTTTTATTTATGCACAAACGTGTTAAGTCTGAAACTGTAGTGGGTCTGAGGTTTTACCTACTTGCAAACTAACAGGCTGCCTATCTCAATTTCCCACATGTATCCTGACAGAAGACAAAAGATCCCTGGGTCAGAGACAGAAATTGAACATGACTCACAGCAAAAGCAGCAGCCTGAACAATTATCCGCATTGTTTACCATGCCCCAGTTCCCAAAGGACAGTGTGATGAGGGTGAGATGTTTACCCACGAGTTCTGTGGATTGAACTGCAGGAACCGCAAAACTAAGACACTCTGAATTCTTCATCGACTGCTGTCACATTCACCTGACACTTCCTCTGCTGGGAGAGATGACTTGCCCTCCTGGAATGTAAGCCAAGCCTTCCGTGGCGGTTAGGGAGTATCTCAGCTTCATTACCCTGGGGCATCTCCACCACAGGAGAGGTCAACGTTTCATAAGAGATTGCCCTAACATCCTGGTGCTTCATGGAAGTCTGAAGGGTGCACCACCAAACTGTGATCGACATAATAAAGGAATGTTTTGCTACATCCCATGATGCATGCTGATATTAAGTAGAAAAGTTAATCGATTCTGCAAGGTCCCATGAGAAAGTAAAGAGATTACAGTCCATGTAGGAACTTTGTTATATTTTTATCCAAGAAACCAGCATGTTACACTGTGATAAAGGGTGCAATACTAAGGATGTCTTTCAGACGGTACATGTTATGGAGTTTATTATAGTGTAGTCATTGTTGACCTATTTTGAGTTATTCGAAGTCTTCGAATTAATGTATTCAAGAGTCTGCTGAAGTTAAAAATTAAGGAATGTCCTTTGAGGGGAAGAGTTTGAGAGTTTGAGCATGCGACTGTAAAACAATTATGGTCTATGCTTTAGCAGGATACTGTGCCCCTGTCTCCCAGATTAATGTTCCGAAATCATACAGGTGTCTTTAAAACATGATTGTGTATGAATAGAGATTACTAGTGATTTTATTAAACTAAGCTATGTATGTTTAATGCAGTATGTTTGAAGTTTTGGTCAATTATTCAGTTAACCATTGCCAAATATGAAATGATGTTGCTCATGACAGAAGAAATAAGATGAAAAACTGTAACAAGACAGCTTTTAAGAAAGAGAATCATAACATTTCTTACTGGAAAAGTAGGCAATTTTTTAAATAAAATTTCTACATCTAGAAATTTTATTATACTATTATACTACTATTATGTTATACTTATTGTTGACTTATTTTGAGTTAATATGAGTCTTCATAATTAATCTATTTCAGAGGATGCTGATGTTAAAAATTGTTCAAAATACCATGTTCAAAATTAGAGAATATAAAGATAGAGTAATTATTTTTACACAATCAAATGGAAGCAAAATGTAGAAAAATATGTGACATGTTGAGTATAAAAAAACTGGCATCGATTTTATTATTTCAAATATAAAATAAGTAAATTTTGTAAGCTATGTGGCTTTACAGATCATAAAACCAGTCATTTTTGGCCAACATTATTTATACCTTACTCATTACCTTTTTATTATTTATTTATTTATTTTCAAGCAAGAGTCTCTCTTTGTCACCCAGGCTGGAGTGCAGAGGCACGATCTCGGCTCATCACAACCTCCACCTCCCAGGTTGAAGCAATTCTCCTGCCTCAGCCTCCTGAGTAGCTGGGATTACAGGTGTGTGCCACCATGCCCAGCTAATTTTTGTATTTTTTGTGGAGACGGGGTTTCACCATGTTGGCCAGGAAGGTCTCGAAACTCCTGACCTCAGGTGATCTGCCTGCCTCAGCCTCTCAACATGCTGGGATTTCAGTCATTACCTTTTGGAAGAAGGGCAACCTGTGGAAATTTTCAACTGAGAAATAAAAGTTTAACAGAATAACAAACATTGGATCCCTTTAATCTCTTAAAGGTTAAATTAAAAAGAGATAAACATTATTAAATGTCTTCTCTTGATACAAAGAGATCAAGTTCAAAATGATAAGCCATTACGCTGTTTAGAAAAGGTTACGCTTTTCATTAAAATCCCTAACCACAGAAGATCTGGTAGGATATTTTGGGATTCCTTTGAGGGCACAATGGTAACCATTACCATTTACAGGCCATTTCCCAAAGAGTCAGAAGATTGCCCCATTCCTCCACTGTACAAACTGCAGTAAATCACCAAGAATAGAAAACCGGGAGATAATTCAGCATACTTTTCATTATTTACCTCCCCAACCTCCATCACTCTGAATCTCTCTGGTGACGGGAAACCTGTAGCTCATCCAAGAACATGGCTTTCCTGGATTGCGTTAATGTCACTCAACGTCTTTTCCTGTTGGGTGATCAATGATGGTAGCTTTCTCCAGACATCTTTTCACTCTTAACACATCAGCTACTTGTCCACCCCGTGAACCAGTCACCAAATGTTAAGAGAACACAAGGATTGGCTTTTGCATTGGGTAGACATGACCCCAGCACAGTGCCCAGCAGGGATTTGGAGCCCAGCGTGCATTTGCTGAGTGAATGTGCGTGTCCACGGGTCAGGGGTTGCTATCAGATTCCAACAGAACTGTTCTCTGTTTCACTTCAATCAGTGCAAGACTGGGAAACAGCAACAAGGCCAAGGGCTTCGGAAACTACGTAACCAAGTTGCATCCAGGTAAAGCCCCCTGCGAAGGGAACACAGGCCTGCCCCCCTTTCCTGCAGCCCGCTGAGCTTGCCTGAATTGTCTGAATTGGCTCAAAATTCATTTTCAGACTACATGGCTTTCCTATTGGGTTGACAAAACCCAAACGATAATCTACCAGTGGCTGCATGCTACGGCAGAAACCGGGCTTACAGCCGGGCACGGGGGTTCACGCCTGTAATCCCAGCACTTTGGGAGGCCCAGGCAGGCGGATCACGAGGTCAGGAGATCAAGACATCCTGGCTAACACGGTGAAACCCCGTCTCTACTAAAAAAATATAAAAAATTAGCTGGGCATCGTGATGGGCGCCTGTAGTCCCAGCTACCTGGGAGGCTGAGGCAGGAGAATGGTGTGAACCCGGGAGGCAGAGCTTGCAGTGAGCCCAGATCGCGCCACTGCACTCCAGCCTGGGCGACAGAGCGAGACTCCATCTCAAAAAAAAAATAATAAGAAATAAAGAAATCGGGCTTACTTCCTTTTCACACCTCTCAGAACAATGGAAACCAAGTTTGTCAAGGTGAATGCCTCAGTGGTAAGTTCCGTTTTTTTCCC
This sequence comes from Homo sapiens, assembly GCF_000001405.40. Classification (NCBI taxonomy): domain Eukaryota; kingdom Metazoa; phylum Chordata; class Mammalia; order Primates; family Hominidae; genus Homo; species Homo sapiens. Next base: position 2,115,063 of record NC_000010.11, read on the forward strand.
CTTATATTTTTATTTGAACTGAAGAGTTTGCCTAAATCTGCATTATTTAGGAACTAACTTTTTACATGTTCTGATATCGATAGTACTATCCAGTTCCAGAAGAGTGTTTGCTCATAGACATGCCATTCTAAGATATTTTTAATAACATTTTCCATTACATTGTAATAGTTTAATGCCTTAAACAGCTTAATGTCATCTGTCCTCGTCCACAAACATAATGATTATGTTTCCTTTGTTTCTTCTTGAGTTAAGCAATGCTCTAACTAAAACGCAACATCCATGTTCAGGCCGGAAAATCCTGCCCCTGCAACATTAAAGAGAAATACGATGTTCCACAGTCCCTATCTCTCTCTTTTCTTTATTTCCTTCGTCTCTTCTATTTTCATTATTCCTTCTGCTACTTTTATATGAAGCATCATCAATTTATTGAATTTCTTATTAAAAATAAAAAATAAAATATTTTTCCACGTAATACTTTAATTTTAGGCAAAAATATTTTCAAGAAATCAAGGAGTTTGTTCCCTTTTCTGAGAAAGAAGATTTAGGGAGGGAAAAAAGAGGCTTTGCTTCAGATCACTCACAATTAGTTATTTGTGAATTTGTGATTAGAATAGTTTTCTTTCCACTAATAACTCTAGAGTCATCTATTCAGAAATTGAATGTTAAGGGCATATTCTGCTGTTTCAGACTCCTGTAGCTTCCCTCCCTGTAGTACATAAAGATGTACTTTAAATTTAATGAAAGGAGCAGAGGATTTTGGAACCATTGTCTTCATTCCCGCGGTGGAGCTTCTCTCCAGGTTGTGGTCAGAGTCAGTCCGTATCAGGGCATCTTGGGAAAGGTGCCAGTAGCTTTAGGGGGACATATTGACTGCAGGAGGCTTTTCAAAAGCTGCCTACATCTCTCAAAAGCAGAGGTGACTTTTCTAAGGACCATGAAGCAGAAATAACAACCTCTCTGACAACATGAAGGGGGTAATTTTCAGCTCAGCTAAGTGAATGCCCCAAGCATTCAGCCAGGCCCACCTTGCTGGGGTGATTGGTGTCTGCACAGAGCCTGTGTTTTTCCTGCTGCTGCACTCATCTCTCAAACTGCACATCTGCGGGGAGGTCCATTATCTTAAAAAGAGGAGAGGGGACTTTGCGTGGTTCCTGCCTTGATTTCACAGTCAGCCTAAAGGTTTCCTGTTCTTAGTCTAATAATTCAACACATCACTATGTATAATCTCAGAAAGATCCTCTCTCTACAGTAAGAGTATTTATGCTAACGATGCAAATAAAAGGTGAATTAAAGGTGTTCTGAACTTTTAACCATGTCTTGCAGACATAAATTTGGGTATTAAACCAGTACCACTCAAATAAAAATGGGAAAAATGACATTTCATTTGGAATTTAAACACTGCAGATGGTATCCATAGTTTGTAATTCTGTATGTTTGAAGAGGGCGGTGTGTCCTCCAGCCTGTGTGTGCAGAAGATGTGGATTTTCTTCAGTCAAACGTGTGCCTACTTCCACAGCTGTTAGAGCTGCCTTCCATTTTGTGACCCAGGAGCTGACAGCAAATGGCAAAGAATAGCAGCTTTTGTTTAAAATAATCTTAAAACATGCATTTTCCATGGGTTTCTTATCTCTGGCCCATGTGGGTTTACCATAGAGTGTCAACTTCCCACCCCTGTGAGTTCTTCACACAGAGTCATCTCAAGGAGCTTTTCCACATTGTTTGATGTTGGCCGACTGGCTTTCCAACATCAACCTGGCTTTGCCACTGGTTTAAAAATAAAGTAAATGTGCTGAAGCAGTCACGTGTGATTTGATGTTTTCTTCATGACTCTGATTAAGAAAATTGACCACACACAGTGTGCTATATGCACGATTGGGCCCCCTTCTCCGTTTCCCTACCTCCACCCCCTTTTCTGTGTGTTTGCACTTCCTCTCACCAATGGGTGTGAAATGGGAGAGTTCCCTGATCCCCCTCACAGGATGTGTGACAGGGGTGTGGCTTGACTGTTCAGTGGCAGCTGCTGCTCTAGCCCCTGATGTTGGGGGGAGCAGACAGATGGACAGGTGCAGGAGCTCAAGTGGGCATGCCCTTTTAGCCCTGCCATCCTGGGATGGCGTGAGTGTTAGCCAGCTCAGCAGACCCTCTGCCTTTCTGCAAGGACAGAGGACCAGTATGACAGCTTTCTGTATCCCGAGCTCTTGTCCAGCATCCCAGAAGAATCAGATCACACATGGACGGGAAGGACGATGAGGGAGTTTTATTGAGTGGTTGGAGGTGGCTCCCAGAGGGATGGATGGGGAGCTGGAAGGGGGAATGGAGTGGGAAGATGATCTTCCCCTGGAGAATGGCCATCTAGCGGCTGGACTCCTCTCCAACCGCTCACAGCCAGACTCCTCTCTATGTTCAGACAGTCCTCCTCTTCTCTCTTTCTCTGCCACGTTGTTTCGCTGTCTGCCTGCTTGTCTTCTCATCTCCTCACCTGCTCATCTGCCTCTGGAGCCAGGGGTTTGGGGTTTATATGGGTATAGAATGGGGGGCATGGTGGGCCAAAAGGCAACTTCTTGGGCACAAAAACGGAAATGCCTGTTCCCACTTAGGGCTGCAGGTCTCCAGGCTTGAGGGTGGGGCCTTTGCCGGTGAACTGCTCTCTTCTACCCAGTATTTCCCTGTCTTCTGTTGGTATCAGTAGGGTGTGTTTCTGCATCAAGGCCTGCATCAGCTATGTGACTGCATTTGGTGGAAAGAATGAGGAAAGCCAGACATGCCACTCCCAGCCCAGCCTCATAGGTTCCTATTGGCACATCCCCCATAACCATGAGAAGAACATGCCTAGGCTAGCCCAAAATGCTAGGCCCAGGGTGAGAGACTGCAGAACTCAGCTGCCCCAGACAAACCATGTCCTCCATCCACCTGAGCCCAACCAAGATGTCTGGGAACAATGAGTGGTTATTGCTGTATACCCCTGAGATCTTGTTATACAGCAAACACACACTGTTGCAAATAATATGAATTTTTAAATTAGACCATTTAATTTTGCACTTTGTAACTGTCTGACTCCTCACCTGCATGACGCCTCCATACAGCCTTCAACTGCTATGCAGAAGTGCTCCTTGAAGTGTTGGCCATGTGGGCCCCTGTGTTAACTGAAGGCACAGATGGTGGCTGATCTTCCTATGTCTAGCACTGATATATTCATTCTGGGGCTTCCCAAATGCTCCCTGAAGGAATAAATGATAGGGTCCCATCAGGTGTAATAATCGTACCTAGGCAAACAAAGCGTAGTGAGGGAAAGAGAATTTGCATATGTTAAGAAAACAATTCTTCATGTTTACTGCTCTTTAGAAACTCTGGGATGGGAAGGCTCCCTGCCTCTGCCTGTGCACACTGCTGTGGAAATGTCAATTCCCCAATTAAGTGCTGAAGATGGAGCCCTGCTCAATTCTCCAGAGGAGCCCTGAGCTGCGCTGCCCTGGGAAGGATCATTTTCCTTCTCTGGCCCTCCCCATTTGGTCTTGTTAACATGTTTACAGCTTCAGTGCTCTGTATGTGATGGTATAGACAAATGTCTTTCCTCAAAGCCTGGGATAAAGGATTTAGAATATTGTAGAATAAACATGGGGTGATTTCTAAGGGTCATCTTTTTAGAGCTTTCTCCCTTGATTTGGAGATGTTGGATGTTTTGACTTGCGAAAGGTAAATAAATCTTGGGACCCTAAAATCACTAAGGCAAAGGCAAAAGTCAAACTGGGAACTTCTTAGGGCAAACCTGCTTCCCATTCTATTCCTATAAGAGATAGCTACTAAGATAAGAAAGCTACATACCTCCCTCACGAGGAATTTCCCTGTAGACAAGGATGGACAGAACTCAAAGTCACTTCTCTGCTCACTAAGATAAATGCATATCTGATTGTCTCCTTTGGAAAGGTTAATCAGAAACTCAAAAGAATGCAACTGTTTGCCTCTTACCTACCTATGACCTGGAAGCCCCCTCTCCGCTTTGAGTCGTCCCTCCTTTCTGGATGGAACCAGTGTACGTCTTACACATATTGATTGATGTCTCATGTCTCCCTTCAATGTATAAAACCAAGCTGTTACCTGACCACTTTGGGCACGTGTCATCAGGACCTCCTGAGGCTGTGTCATGGGCGTGCATCCTTAACTTTGGCACAATAAATTTTCTAAATTGACTGAGATCTGTCTTAGATATTTGGGGTTCACAGGCTGATGGCATTGCACCTGGCTTGGGTATTCCTTATGGCCTGGTTTTAAATCCCATGATGCTGGGCAGCTACGCAGAATAGCTTGCACTGACAAACCCTTCTTTTTGCTTTAAGTTTTTGGAAAACTTAACAATGGAAAGATGCTCATGTCTACGTTCTCTGTGAAAATCCCCTGACTCTGCTGAACTGGGCTGGCCTGCAAATCTGTATATGGTGAATGAATCATCGTGGTATCCTAGAACTTGCTGTACTCTCAGTGAAGAGGCATCTTTGCCTGGGGTAATATCAGAGGTTCGTTGCAGCTTGCCAAGGAAATCAAGGACACGTACACGCACAAGGAGTGAGTTTAGGAATGGAGGTTGCATAGGCAAAAGAAAGAGAAAGGAGAATAGCTCTCTCTCCTGCAGAGAGAGAGGTGCCTGAGTGGGTCTTCCAACCCACAGAGAAGTGCATGGGACTTTATAGACTGGCTTGAGGAGGTGGTGTCTGATTTCCATAGGGCCCAAAGATTGGTTGGACCACGTGTGACCTCTACATAGCGTGAGAGGAAGCTGGTGCCCCACCTTAATCTTTTCTTATGCAAATGAAGAAATGGGGTCTTTGATTGGCCAATGCCCTGTTGTCTTCTCCTTACTGTGCACGCGATTGGCCAAAAAAAGGGAAGATGGAGCTGCCATGTTGAACATGCCTGGCTCCCAGGGAGCCCCTTTCTTATCAGCATAGCTGCCGGCATTCACCCTTCAAGTGTCCAGCTTGCTTATCTATGTTTACAGCTCGATTTTACAGGTTGTTTTTTGTTAGAAAAGAAATTATTTGGGGGCTGCTTTTTATTGAAAAGGAAACCTTACTGAGGGACTCCCTTGCCCTCACTATTTGCCTAAGTCATTTCTTTTTATCTCCTGTATGATGAGTATTATGTCCGCGTGTTCACCTTTTTCCCCTAAATTTGTCTGTAAGCACCTTGTGGAGAGAACTTTACACATCTCATTTTCCCCATTTTGTCCCACACAAGACTCAATAAATATTCATTAATTACCCCACAGGCCTGTGCCCTATTTCCCTCTGTTAACTTTGTTTTAATGTTACTGGAAATTGAATGATGCTTTTTGGTATTTCATGTTCAAGAATATTTCTACAATAGTTACTAGGATAATTCTTTGCTGAAGAACGTGACTTTAAAAAAATTAATTAATTGCCTTTTTAATCAATAATTTTTAAGCATAAAGTAAAAACTCAGAAACCTTTTTCCAGATAAAGAAGAATCAACTCCTACGCTAAAATGTAGAGAGAAAAAAGCTGACTTTTGACGGCATCGTAAAGTTGGTATTTCCTTGAGTGCAGGAGAAGCGCAGTGGCCACGGCAGGTGATAATTTTCTTTTCTGGTCCTGCAGGCTACTCTCCCTTGCCTGGAAAAGCCTGGATTTTCACTTAATTTCTTTTGAAGGGCAGACAAATTATTTCTCAGGTCAGCTAATGGTGGCAAAGCATATTTGACAAGTAACCACCTGGTGGGATCAGAGGCTCCAAGCATGTTTTTAAGCTAAACTTTAAAAACCTCTCTCAGCTGGAACCTTCCCTCCTGCTCAGAGAAGTCTGGCCAGCACCACTGGCTGCAGGAGGCCCTCGAGGCTCAAGTGGACCGAGCGTTTTAATTACTGAGGTCGCCCAGCCCTCTCGCTTAATGACCAAGACCAAGCATGCGCTTTAGAGCCTTCAGCGGTAATCACTCAGCTTCCAGAAAGACAGGAGCCCTCTGAAAAGACATTGAGAAGCAGTGACTGCCTCCGACTCACAAAACGTTCCATTCTCTTCTCACAGCTGAATGGCAGTGATGAAAAGTTTGAAAAAAACATCTGTCATGTTAAGATAACATCACTCGGGGCAGTGGATAAGCTGAGATTCCTCTTTCTGTCCAAATCTGTTCACCTTAGTACTGAAAAGGTGGTTGTCCTCGTTAATTTTTGGTTTTAATTCTCCTCCTCCAAATTGAGAAAAAGAAATGAAAGAGCAAAAGATTGCCTTAATTGAGATGGAGTGACAGTGATAAACATATTTACCCAGCATTAAATAGCTGCCAGTGGCCAGGCGTGATGGCTCAGACCTGTAATCCCAGCACTTTGGAAGGCTGAGGCAGGAGGACTCTTTGAGGCCAAGAGCTCAAGACCAGTCTGGGCAACATAGTGAGACTCTGTTCTGTCTCTACTAATAAATAAATAAATAAATAAATAAATAAATAAATAAATAAATAAATAAATATTAGCTGGTCATGGTGTCATGAGCCTGTAGTCCCAGCTACCTGGGAGGGTGAGGAAGTAGGACAGCTTGAACCCAGGAGATTGAGGCTGCAGTGAGTTAAGATCACACTCCTGAATTCCAGCTTGGGTGACAGAGCAAGACCCTGTCTCAGTAAAGAAACAAAAGAAAAAGCTATCCCTGATTTTTCTTTTCTGTCATACAAAAGTGAAGAAATGTTTCCACAAATGAAAATGCAGTTTCTTTCAATGTAAGTCAGTAAGTATTTATATAGCATTAACTATACTATATTCATTTTGTCAGGTTCCAAGTAAAACATTTAGAAAAGAAATAAAATATAATACAAGTCTTAAGAAACTGGTGATGAAAGACCTAACAGGTAGGTTCTCTCAAATAAATACACATTTTCAAAGAATATGCACTTAAGTTATATATATTTCATTTTCAAGATGTGGCATTATAAATATAACTAATGCCACATCTTGAAAATAATTATAAGAACGTTTACTTGAGCTTTTCCATCTTGGATGTACCCCAAATGGCCAACTGCCCTGCTCTCCCATTTGGCCTTTGTCATTGATATTGCTGCAAACTGACGTCTGTGCTGCTCTCGGTCCAGCAGCCTTCACACCACACAGTCTCCTCTTTGGCAAATGCCGCCCTGCTAAGCCTGAGGAGAAAGGCATTCATGGTAGCAATAAATATGTTCAATATTTCATTGCAGTTACTCCCTAATCTTTATTTGATATATTGCCTGCGTGTATCAGGTCCAAATATTTTGAAGTTTCTGTTGAATCAAGTTTAGCCTAAAGGGGCTTCTATACATATTTTAAGTTTGGCCTGAAAGTTTCTCTGTACCTTGTGAACCACAGCCTAAATGGATATGTAGACAGACCACAGCCTATGCTTATGCCAATCACTGAATTTTTGCCAATTAAAGGGGGCTGACCATTCAAATAAGGTAAAGGCTGAGCTGTAACCCGTGTGGCTGTCTCTGTGCCTCGCTGCCGTTTTCCGTACGTTCCTTTCCTTTCCTTTTTCTGTCCAAAAATCTTCTTCCACCCTGTGGCTGCACTGGAGTCTCTGAGCCCAGTCTGGCTGGGAAGGCTGCCTGATTCATGAATCACTCATTGTTCAGTTATACTCTTTTAAATTTAATTTGGCTAAAGTTTCCCTTTTAACCATTCTAAATCTGGGATCTTAAGCTTACTTGAAGCTTATATAGTTATCTTTTAATATCTTTATGTGTTTACAGTTTATGAATCTCTTTCATACAAGTTATCCCATTTGGAGACCATACATCAATGCTGGAAGTTAAGGAGAACAAATAGCATGCTTAAAAATAATCAGGTAAATGACTCAGAGAGGCTAATGCATTCATCCAGGGTGATACAGTTGATGGTCCTGAACTCCGGGGAATTAAACATTCCATTCCAACTTACCTTACTGACCACTGCACATGCTGTGGGACCTACCTCAGTCCCCCATCTCAGGAGGCGTGCCTTACTGCAGACCAGGATGAAAAAGAATTTGAGATCTTGTTTATTACATATAAATGCAACTAGGATTCGTGATCACATTGATCCCAACAGCACCTCTAGTTCATTTCAACTCTTCCCAAATGTGCACTTGCATTGCTTTAATGCTTTAAGCAATTTGTCTTGACGGGATATGTTTGCATATCATTTTAAACCTAACCTAAATACATAACATCACAGTGATCAAAGCACCTTATAATTTGAGGCTTTTAAGTCACTGATTCACATCTGTCTTCCAAAAGTAATACCTAAATAATGGAGTGATTCTTATAACCCAAGCTCTGCTGGGAAATTCACATTCATTATCTCATTGGTTTTCAAACTTTTATTTTATTTTTAGGAGAAACGGAATTCTATTCTCAAGCAAATTCTTAGGCCAACCCCAACATTAAAAAAAAATTTTAAAAAAAACAAAGCTAATATGATTAAAGCGAGACACCTTGAATCATAAAAGGAAGACCTGGCCTCTCTCACCTTACCTGGCTTTGTTCTTTCTAACAAGACACGGGACCCCTCACCCAGGCTGCCCTGGAAATCAGAATCCACACAGAACCATCATCTCTGGGGCCAGGCCCAATAATTCACATTTCAACACAGCCTTTGTGTTTTCTCAAATTCAATTTTATTATGATAGAACATTTAATATGAGATCTACCCTCTTAAAAAATAAATATACAATAGGCTATTGTTGACCATAGGTGCAGTGCTATACAGCAAATTCCTAGAGGTTATTAATTCTGCTTAATGAAACTTTATGCCTATTAGTGATTTTTATGTACACATAAGATTCAGCACCTCTTTTCTAAAGTGTTTTCTGTAATTTATTGCATATTTCAAAACAGGTTGAAGAGAAGAATTTTAATTTTCCCAACACAAAGAAATGATACATGTTTGAGGTGGTGGAGAATTCCAATCACAGTGATTTGGTCATGACATATATTGTCTACACATATACAAATACTACACATATCCCCCATATATGTACGTATGTACAACTATGATAAATCAACTAAAAATACACACAAGTCATTTCTGCATAATCTCTGAGAAAGAAAACAAAGCAGATTGGAAAACACTGATTTAATGTAAAAATAATTTATTTTATACATAAACAAGCTGAGGAGCAGAGGAATCAATTTACTTGTCCAAGATCCTAATGTTGGTTAGCGACTGACATGGGCTGAGAACCGCATGCCCTGTGGGTAACTCCACACCCCTTTGTGTTTCTCCTGAACCGAGGTAACAAGCGTGCCACAGTGACGGTGTCAGGTGAGGTGAACGTCTGAGACATAAATACAGCGTGTCATCGGGTGCTGCTGCATTGATCTTCCACGGCTTTGGGAAGTGCAACCTCAAAGAGGATGGATGGATTTCTAGACACTTCCGTTTGACAGAAAACATTTAAAATTGCAACTTAAGTTCCAGAAACCCGAGCAAAGATTTCTGTGAGAATGGACATTTAAACCCTCACTAGTCGATAAAAGATTATGTAAAGAGGCAGTGTTTTATTGAATTAATATTTTAAGCAAAGATAAAGTCTTGTGAGGTCTTCATCTCCTACAGTACACTTTATTCAAATTTTAAGTAATTCAACAACATTTGCACACTTTTGTGGTGCAAAGCATCGTGTCATAAAATGTTTATGTTTAAGGAACATAAACTGAGGATACAAGACAATTACAATCCCCATTAGTGGGAACAGCCATGTGACTAACATAATAGCAAACATAACCTAAACGTATAACACCATAACATACCATAACGTAATATAATCACATACCACAAATAGCAAGCCTGTATCCAGTGCCTACCGTGTGCCAGGCACTCCTAATAAATTAAACCACCTTCTCTTCGTTTCATTATTATAAGCTTGGTGCCATCAATCCCATTTTATAGATGAAAAACAATGAAAAAAGAGAAAGAAAAAAATTTCTTTTCGCAGAGATCACCCAGAAATAACTTATTTTTATTTTTAATTGATATATCATAGTTTAAGGGTACATATTTTGGGGGTATGTGTGATATTTACATACGTGTATACAATGTGTAATGATCAAATCAGTGTGGGATTATTTGTCACCTCAAACATTTATTTTTTCTTTGTGTTGGGAATATTAAAAGTCTTCTTTTTGATTTATTTTAAAGTATACAACAAATTACAGAAAATCAGTGGGAATTGAACAATGAGAACACTTGGACACAAGAAGGGGAACATCACACAATGGGGCCTGTCGTGGGGTGGGGGGAGGGGGGAGGGATAGCATTAGGAGATATACCTAATGTAAATGATGAGTTAATGGGTGCAGCACACCAACATGGTGCATGTGTACGTATGTAACAAACCTGCACGTTGTGCACATGTACCCTAGAACTTAAAATATAATAAAAAAAAGAAAAAAAAAGAAAAGAAAAGAGGTGCTGAATCTTATTTGGACCTGAAAATCATTAATTGGTATAAAGTTTCATTTAGGCAGGATGTATGAGCTCTAGGAATTTGCCGTACAACACCGCACCTGTGGTCAAGAATAATGTATTGTGAAGTATTTTAAGAGGGTAGATCTCATGTTAAATGTTCCCATCACAATAAAACAGTATCACTGGGCCATAATCCATGTTTCAGTGGGGTTGTTCCTCTAGAGGCTGTAGGGGAAAATCAGATCTTCTCTTCTTCCAGCTTCTGGTGACAACCAGCACTCCGTGGCTGTGACCACATCACTGCCATCTTCAAGGCCAGCATCTTCCAATCTCTCTGTTCTGGATGCATGTCACAGTCTCCTCTGTGGGAGGGACTTCCCTCTGCCTCTTTCCTCTAAGGATACATGTAATTGCATTTGGAGCCCACCCAGATAATACAGAATAATGTCCCCTTTGAAGATCCGTAACTCAATCTCATCTGCAAAGACCGTTTGCTGCCACATAAAGTAACATTTCAAGTTTGAGGAGTTAGGATGCATGCATCTTTGGGTGGAATAGGGGATTGTGGGGCTGAACTCAAGACCTACTACAAAGCTACAGTAATGAAGATATGTGGTATTGGCAAGTGAATAGACAAACAGATCATTGGAACAAAATAGAGAACCTATAAATAGACCCCCACAAATACATCAAATGATCTTTAACAAAGGAATTTAGGCAATGGAATGGAGAAACCATAGCGTGATCATTTTTGCATTATACTAAGTTTGAAATTGGATGATGTGCATCCTTCAACTTGGTTCTTTTCAGTATTGTGTTGGCCGCTTTACATCTTTTCCCTTTTCATATAAACTTTAGCATTACTTCTTCAACAGCTACAAAAAGCTTGCTGAGATTTTGATTGTGTGGAATCCATAGACCAAGTTGCAAATAATTGATATCTCAGTAATAATGTCTTCCAACCCACAAACAGAGATTGCATCTCTATTTATGTCTTCATTGATTTTTTAACCAGAGTTTTTGATTTTCCACATATAGATCCTGAGCATATTTTTTTAGATTATGCAAAAGTATTTCATTGTTTGGGGTTTTTGCAAACGTATCATTTTTAAATTTTAAATTTCCACCTTTATTGGTGGTATGTAGTGAAGTAATTCACTTTTGTAGACTAACCTTGTGTCTTATGAATTTGTGATATTCTCTTATTAGTGCCACAAGCTCTTTTGTAAGTTCTCCGAGAGTTTCTATAAGCACAAGGATGGTATTTGTGAGTAAAGACAGTTTGGTTTCTTTCTCCCCAATGTGTGTAATTTTTACTTCCTTCCTTGTGTTACTGGGGAGTGTGGGACTGGTGGTCTGATACTAATAAGATTGGGGAGAGGGGCCACTGCTTGTTCCTGGCCATAGGCAGGTGACTCACGCACCTGCTGCTTCCTTTGCAGGGGAACCTGAATGGCCCGGGTAATGGTCATATTCAGAGTACATTGGGGCTCTTCACCCTGATGCAAGAACTCCTTCTTTGGGAATCAGGAGGAGTCTGGAGTTGTGGGGTGCAGGAATCACATGTTTCCCAGATGTGTTTCTGGGAGTTATGATGAGTAGGCCACCCTCTCTGTTTGCATAATGTAAATGCTTTGGATGTAGCAGCATCTAGGGGTCACTGATTTGGGTGCGTCCTACATCTTCATGCTTCCTCCCGCATCATCTTGGAGCTGGCCTCTTCACTGTGCCTCTTATACCTTCATCAATTCAATACCCAGGCACCCCTGTACCACGCAGTAACTGGTGGGCCCAAGCGACCCATGCCCATCTGCCTCCTGCCACATCTCTTTCATAGTAAAGGGGGCTTCCTATTCCAGTGAAATAACTGATGGGATTCTGTGGAGGTGTTTCCAGCATTCTGAAAGCTCTTCAGAAGTGATATAGGCTGAGGCCTCAGGGAAAGAAGGCAGACCCATTTCTAAGACATCTGCCAATTTCAGTCAAATGCATGTTACTGCCTCTTCTCTGTGGAAGGAGCTTAACTTGACCCTTGGTCGTCTCTCATGGGACGATGCTATAGGAAGAACTAAGCGCAGGTCTCGTTGCTGGAAGTTTGAACGTTTGGCAGCAGGTGCAGGTAGAGGCCCCTGGCAAGTGACAGCTGATGCTTTTGGACTCATGAGCAGTCTCCCTCCCTCCCTGTGGCCATGACTACTCCATCACACCGTTTTTGTAGCAGCTCCCAAGTGGACAATGACAGAGGCTGGTTGAATTCAACCGCTTGGTTACTTAGTGTCTCTTCCAAAATAGATGCTCTCTGTGGTGTTAAAGCTTGTTACAAAGATCTCCGAAGGCAGTGCCCACCCTTCCAGGCCCACCCACCTACCTGTTTTCCTTGTATCTTACACTCCAATCTTTCTTCTTGCTGGCTCCGATCAACTGGTCAAACATTCACCGCTGACCGTTAGTGGGCATCTATTATCTCTACTGGCTTTGAGTCTTTCCATAGAAACTGGATGCACAACATCTTTGCCCTTTGTGAAGACTCCTCCCACTGTTGCATTTCAAGATTTTCTGTGAGTAGGGGCACGGTGCAGTGACAGCCTGTATTCAGCTTGCACCAATGACCAAACTACGTAATCCCTTAACCACACTCAGGCGTTTTTCTCCTGTGTCTGCCAGGTTTCATGGGTTCTCCATGCAGCTGCAGGTGTGGGCTGAGCAAAGCAAGGTGCCCCAGTGGTGGGCAGCATGGATGAGTGAGAAGCAGATGGCACCCCTGCTGTTGCGGTTATGTTCCTATCAATACATGGCACTGGATTCACCATTCTCCCCTTATGCTGGACTCCTGCTGGGTCCATCTGGCCTTGCAACATGATGGGTCTGACAGAGTCAGCTTGGAGAGGGCAACACTCACTGCGTGGCCACCTGAGGACTCACAGTCAGGTGCTCTGACCAGCCAAGGCCCACTAGAGCACCAGGAGCTGTCTTCTGAGAGGTGCATAATTCTCCACCGCACATGGCATGGGCTTCCTCCAGAATGTATGGCTCTGTACTGCAGTTCCCTTACTGGAGCTTATCAGAAATGGCCCTGGCCAAGTTTTACTTTGATGTAACTGGGGTTAGGGCCTGGGGGCAGGAGGAACATTAGGAGCAGGTCCTGATGGAAGCATGCATTGTCTTGTTGGGGAATTGCACCTTCTCTTCAAGCAACAAGAAAACCTTGAGACGTAGGGTCTGGGGCCTCCAGTGTTGAACAAGTGAACCCTAATAATTTCATGTAGGGCCCTGGAATATGTGAAAAAAAAAACCTTTTTGTTTTATTAAGACTAAATTCAAAATGATGTTTTTATTGTCATTTTGTTTTGTTTTGTTTTGTTTGTTTTAGCAGCTAGTGTGGCCTGCCTTACACAGTAATAAAAACTTCTAGCCTGTGGTATACACTCAATTGAAGTTTGCTGAATGCATATATAAATAAATGAATAGAAAAGGATATAGGAGCTGCTCTCCATATAAAGAAATGCATAATTGCATATTTGGTCTTCCTTAGAAAATAATCGGCAAGAGTTATATTTACCCTCTGCTTACCTACTTTTATCATCATATATTCTAAAAATTATCATTCTTTTTAGCACTCACAAATGGGCATTTCCAAATGAAATGAAAAGCACGGCCAACTCAGCAGTCTGCTGTTAGGCCTTGTTGCCAAGCGCTCAGCTTAAAAACAGTATGTAATTACACAGTGTTTTTATTATCTCACTAAAAATATTGTTCATCATAGAGAATCCTGCATTTCCCAATTTCTGAAATTAAAGAAACTAGGGGCTGGCTCCAATGTGATAAGAAAAAATCCATGTTCTTCAGCATTCATCTTTGTATTTAATTAACTGAAAAGCTATAATGTGATCATTTTCTCATATTTCTTTTCAATGTTCTACTAAATCTATATTGTGTGTGTGTGAGCACACTTTTATTATAATGTCCTAGAATATAAGATCATGGAAAAGCATCATTATTTGGGAGCTTTGTGATGAAAATATATCCACACTACCAGTTGGCCAGCAGTTGACCCTAATGCTACGACTTTTCCCCGGAATTCCAGATAATTTCTCACAGTTGCATAAAAAGTTAATAAATTTGTCAGAGAATAGTGCTATTTAAAACGTTAGTGAATTTATTTTGTGATGTTTTTGAAACTGTGACTGACTTAGACCTTCAACTATTTCCAACAGCCATATTAAAGTTAAGTTTTTATTTAAAGATTTGCACAATTTTATGGATGATTGAAATGTTTAGAGTAGTTATTTCTCCCTTCTCAGAAAACTACATTATTTCTTAGGCAGATAAGCACTGGTTCTTTTTCAGGTGATGAGGTTTCAAGACAAATTAAGATGTATGTCAGAAGAAACAGATACAGGACAAAAAAACCACTAGAAAGATAACTCATTATGAAATCTATAAATACATAATTCCCAGCAAGAATGAAATGTACATAACACTGTTATTGCTTGCATTTGCTTCAAGAATAGGTGTTCATTTTTCTTGCAATAATAAAATCTATGAACACTTGTGAATTAAAATACACATTTCAAAATATGCTGTAGAGGTGTTTTTGAGAATGAACATCATTGGTTATCACTTCATGACAACTAATTCTTATTGCTGACTCTCAGAATAATATTCTTATGCTTGTGATTATAGAATATTATTAGGCTATATGAATGAGAGAAAAATATATCTTTGATATAATGATAGATTTATTCTTATATCTTCTCAGCATTTCAAAATTTTGACTTCTCTTTTAGTGAAGCTCAATTTCTCTTTCTCTTTTTTTACTGGTATATACATCAAACTACCTTTTTTTAAACTAAAACCGCTTTGTAATCTTCCACAAACAAAGGCATTTTCGAATAAATATCTTTAAGAGGTTTAATAATAAAAGACATAATGATAAAATTAATATGATATTTTCTTACAGAAAAGTAGGTTTAGACAGTATCACAGAACAGAGCATTTTGGGTTTTAGAATAATGTTAAAAGCAAAATTTGATGGATTAAAAATCTAGTATTTTTCGTAGTTCTAAACCATGATCAAACTGTCAAATTTGATCCCAAGTTTCCTAAATCCCTCACATATCACATTCACATCCCTAAGTATCTAATGCATATGAAAGGTAGTTCCAGAAATGCTTCAGGTTCCCCGAAATCTCTTGTCGTTTCTGTTTCTCTTCTGGTCTAAAACTGTCATTGAGAAAATTAAAACTGTCAGTGCTGTAGGGTAATGACTACACTATCAAACAGTCAATAATGCCCAGCTGATGACTAAATTAGTTAAACAGATCATTCTTGTCTCCAAGACGCTGTAACGTGGGCATAGTATAGTGTTCCAGTCTTTCTGCTGCTGCCCTCCTGTATCTGACTTCTGCTCCAATCTACGTGAATTATGTTCCGTCATCAAGCACAGTCCTGAATAACTTCCTCTGTGAATTACGGATCACTCTCTCTGCCTGAAACATTCTCAATACTGTTGTGCCCTTTGGTCTGATGAAATTTCATGATCCTGAAAGTTCTTTTAATAGAGTCTCCCCAGGTCCCTCCATCCTGTACCAGCTGCATCCTGTGGTACTTAGAGTTCCTCCAGCAGGTGTCAGCTAACGAGGTAAGGGATTGTTTTCTAAACTTGCGGTAAAGGTAAAATTTCATTCTTGTTTTATCTTCCTCGAAGAAGCTGGTGGATGGCA